>NC_000015.10:85532187-85683702 GCF_000001405.40 Homo sapiens
TACACAGCAGTGAGAGATTTCTCTTGCCACAGGATGAGGGCTTAAGGAGGCCCTTGGGAAAAAAGCATGTGGAAAATTAACTTACTTATTATTCTGATTACATGGAAGAAACATTGTCTCTTTCAAAGACAGCAGAAAGCTTAGTTCATTCCAAGTCTGAAACCTCTGTTGGCCTGTGCCCGTGGTATGGAAATTCAGTCGCAGGGACCATGTAGAGGGTTTCCCTCCATGCCCTTAGCTGTAGAAGAGCAGTCTGAATGTGTTAGAGATTCAGGGAAGTGGCACGTGCATGGGTGCCCATGATTAATCAGGCAGAGCACAAAGTGGCGTTACCCAAACAAAAACATTAACTCTACTTTCTTTTCTGTCATCAGAAAGATAATGGGAGAAGGATGGTGATAGGAGCATAGTTCTGGCTATTTGAGATCAGTGTGTGAAAACAGGGGAAATAGTGTTCATTGTGATGAGTATATTCTGAATATTGGAAATATTTAATTCTGTGAGGCTAAAATTTCAAAAGAAAGCCCAATTGTCCAAGAAGGTCTTACCCATAGACACGTGGTGTTAAATCTTGCTGACCTGTCTGCAGCCGAACTCTTTGGAGTGGCATGCAGTTTTCTGCCTCCAATCATCACTCCTGAGGTGCCTGCCAGTCTGTACACTGGGCACCATGGAGTCCTTGGCATGTTTGCGTTTCCTGAACTGGGCTCCCAGCCACAGCATTGCATTATCCTCATGCAAACCAGGTAATTTCATTGAAGTCCTCATTACATTAGTGGTTGAGATGGGAAATAATGTGTATCTGAGAACAAAAATCATTACTTATTTTTTAGGCCTTGGATTGCTCATAGTAGTAAAATAAAATCAAGTAATTATGTACTTTTCCAAGTGCTTCATCATGTGAGCCTTTGTATCGTGATAATAAAGCAAGTGCTAGTGAATCTGTAAAATTCTTGCTATATAACTTGTATGAGTGATATTTTTTCCTGTTATGTTTTCAGATCTAATTTAGTTCAGTAGCTATTGGACTTTCCATCATATGCTATGCCTTGAAGGTCCTTCAGCTTTCATTCTTAAATATGTTCAAATTGAATAGCCCTTGTTGACATTCAGAGCCTGTTCGGTTCCAGATACCATGTTATAGGCATGGTGAAAGCTGGGATACAAAGTTTTTTGTTTTTTGTTAAGGGAATTCATATTTGCAAATAATGTTAAAAGCTGAAAATGGAGTTTTAAGAAGTTTGGAAAAATGCTGTCAGAGCTCAAGAGGAAGGAGGGGGTGTTTTTTAGGAGGAGAAATTTGTATGTCGTGAAATAAGAGCTAAGAGGATCCACTAGCGTCCTTTCAGCAGTGAGGCTCTAATACTGTTTTATTTGCTGCCTGTGTTTCCTTTAGGTCATGATTGTTGTGAAACAGTGAAGGTGCAGCTCTGTGCTTCCAAAGAGGGCCTTCCCGTGTTTGTGGTGGCTGAAGAAGACTTTCATTTCGTCCAGGATGAAGCGTATGATGCAGCTCAATTCCTAGCAACCAGTGCTGGAAATCAGCAGGCTTTGAACTTTACCCGTTTTCTTGACCAGTCAGGACCCCCATCTGGGGATGTGAATTCCCTTGATAAGAAGTTGGTGCTGGCATTCAGGCACCTGAAGCTGCCCACGGAGTGGAATGTATTGGGGACAGATCAGAGTTTGCATGGTGAGAATTTATATGATCTACAAACACACTTTAAGTTTGTGATATTTCTACTTTTTTTTTAATGGGGCTACTTTTCTATGGTCATCATATTCAGGTCTTCCACAGAGGCTGCGTAAATCTTAGAATTACTGTAGGAAAGTGGCCTCAATGGCATCTCTTCTAGGTTCTTCAATTGAGCTGTTAAGCATGTTGTTGCAGCGAAATGACCCTAGGGATTACCCAAGGAGAGTGGCACGTCACCTTCCTGTGGGTCTGGATTTCAGATTTGATCTCTCAAGTGTAGAAAGTGACATGCTCTTCATGAGGAGAGTAGCAGAGTTACTTTTTGGTGTTTAATGATCAAAGACATGGTTTTCATTATTGTATTCTGAAGTTCTCTAAAGATAGCCTGGAAGTGAAGGAGAGGAAAGATTGGGCAGTGAGTGGGAGGAGCATGAGAACAGGGTGTGCTCTGAGAAACCACACACTTCCTTAACCAGGTTAGTGTCACTCTTACTGACTTTATCTGTTGGCCCTCCCTATGAGAGTTCACTGAAGAAAGGACTTTTTGTTTGTTTTTTGTTTTTTTTTGAGAACGGGCTTTCACTCTTGTAGTCCAGGCTGGAGTGCAGTGGCATGATCTCGGCTCACTGCAGCCTCCACCTCCTGGGTTCAGGTGATTCTGCTGCCTCAGCCTCCCAAATAGCTGGGATTACAGGCATGTACCACCATGCCTAGCAAATTTTTTTTTTTTTTTAATTAGAGACAGGGTTTCACCGTGTTAGTCAGGCTGGTCTCGAACTCCTGACCTCAGGTAATCTACCCACCTCGGCCTCCCAAAGTGCTGGGATTATAGGCATGAGCCACTGCGCCCGGCCAGAACTCCACTTTTTCAAAAATATTTACATAGTAAGTCCTCTTACTCAAACAAGGGTTTTCCCACATAATTCTAGTAGCCAATGACATCTACTTGATGTCATAATTGTATAGATATTTTTTAATGAAACATAATGTGTACCTGGAGTTCAATAAGTAACATCCAGTTTCCCTTCTGAGTTCAAGTCCAATTGAACGATTTGGGAGTCCTGAGATAGAAACCAAAATGTTTATTACTGATGAAATCTAGATTGGAAGCCTGATGTTAGAGCTCCTGCCAGAAGGGTCTGCTTGTACTTTCTATGTCTTCAATGAAAGAGCTGGTCAGTCACACCATTGCCCTGTAGAGTCCACCCAGCCTTGAGTATTGAATTATTTTGGGTAAGCAGACCACAAGTCACTCTCCCCACAGGTGAGCAGTTCCTGAGGAGAAATACCCAGAGGGGCCTGAGCCATAGCATAGTTAGTTTCTACACTCAGATGAATTTTGTCTTCTTCCATGGAAGAATGGTAAAGAGGTCTTTGCCAGCTTTGATTCTCTTAAATCTACACTAAATTTAACAGTTAAACCTGTGGTCAGCCGTCAGAACGGTGTCCCATACTGTCAGGTGCATACTGTCAGATTCTACCTGGATAGTCCTGCCCAGGTAAAACCTGAAAGGAAGTATCAAATCAAGGAAGAAAGGATTTATCCTTTTCTTCTTCTTTTTTTAAGTATAGTGTCCAAGAAACTTCTGTCTTGCTAATATTTAGAGATCAGAATATTTGACATTCTGAAAAGGCACTCATGCCTTATATAAACCTGGTGATGGGCCTTAATACCTCTAGCTCCTCCTATTTCTGTATTGATACAGGAATGTTTATTCTGGCTGCCTTTCACAAATCAGTGTCAAGATAGTACTGCATTAGTTATTTGTGGGGCTTATGGTGTTTTATGGTTTTGTTTTGTCTTGTTTAAAGAGGGGCCCAGGAGTTGGATAGTTTTATGTTGCCATGATTAAAAACAACTATTAGAAAAAGCAAACATCTGAAACTTTGGACATATCACTTCCTCTTTCTCTCTCTTTTTTTTTTTTTTTTTTGAGATAGAGTCTTGCTCTGTCGCCCAGGCTGGAGTGCAATGGTGCAATCTCGGCTCACTGCAACCTCCATCTCCTGGGTTGAAGCGATTCTCCTGCCTTAGCCTCCCAAGTAGCTGGGAATACAGGCACATGCCACCACACCCTGCTGCTTTTTTGTGTGTTTTAGTAGAGACGGGGTTTCACCATGTTGCCCAGGCTGGTCTTGAACTCCTGAGCTCAGGCAATCCACCCGCCTCAGCCTCCCAAAGTGCTAGGATTACAGGCGTGAGCCACTGTGCCCGGCCACTTCCTCTCTTTGGGCCTTAACTTCCTTGTCTTTAATAGGAGGGAATTGGCCAGCTTTAATTTTTTTTTGTACTGTCAGTGTACTGGTAAATTTTCTGTTGCACAAAATTGCTCAAGCAGTGCTAACAAAGGCCAAACCAAATTTGAACACTTGAGGAAGGAAATACATATTAAAACCACAATGAGATATCATTACACATTTATCATAATGGCTAAGATGAAGAATACCAAGTGCTGGCAAAGATGAAGAACATATCATATGTTGCTTGTAGGAATGCAAAATGTATAACCACTCTAGAAATATTTGGCAGTTTCTTGTAAAGTTAAACATACACTTAGCGTATGACCCAGTAATCCCACTTTTGGGTGTTTATCCTAGAGAAATGAAAATCTGTAGTCACCAAAAAGTCTGTGCACGGACGTGCTCATAGTAATGTTATTCATAATCTTCAAAAACTGGAAATAACCCAGATTTCCCTCACTGAGTGAATACAGAAGCAAACTATAATATATCCATACAGTGGAATACTACTCAGCAATAAAAAGAAGCAAACTGTTGACATGTGCAACAACTTGGATGTGTTTTAAATGCATTATGCGGGAAAATGAAGTCAGTTTCCAAAGGTTCCATACTATGTGATTCTATTTATATGATATTCTGGAAGATGCAAAATTATAGAAAAAGAGAACAGATGAGTAGTTGCTAGGGGCTGGGAGTGGGGGAAGTCTGACTGGAAAGAGGTATCATGAGGGAATTCTTTGGGTTGTTGGAGTTGTTTTGTCTTGTTCGTGGTGGTGGCTGTAAGAATCTATGCATGTGTTAAAACTCATAGGAGTGTACATCCCCTAAAGGTGAATTTTATTGTACATATATTTAAAATAATAAAATAACAAAAGAAATTGTGTAAGTTGTATACTTTGCAAGGTGAAATGCATGCAAGTGACTTGATAGAAGTGTCTTTAAGTCAACAACTGGGATGAGGAATCTGATTTTCTGTGCTCAGTTCACATTCTGCAGTTTAAATTGTTCTATTAATTGATGATTAGAATCTGGGAACACTGGGTACAGTAAGGGAGAGAAGCATCAGTTAAGAGTTCATCACGCCTGCTGTTGAGGGACAAATGTAATGGAATAGTCTGTTCACATCAATGAGTTGCACATAAATACTTTTAAATAGGTATTTAAAGGAGAAAGGTACAAAGTAACCATGATGCCTGAGGTAATACAGGTAAATAAGGCACCTTGTTACATAACAGGACTTCTTGCTGTTGAAAGCTAGGATGTTTAGAGATATTCTAGCCTAATACTTAGACAAAGTAGTTTATGTAAGATTTATGGCTAATCCTCCTACTGTTTTAATTGTTTAGTTGCAGTGCTTTTTAGCTTTCTTCAGGTCAGTGACTCCTTTGGAAATTGCTCAGATTTCTCCTCAGAAAAAAATGTTTATAGGTGCCTATGTGCACACATTTACATATGATAAATTTCTTAAGTCTCCCTGAACTTCAGGCATGAGCATAAAGTTAAGAATTCTGGGTTTAACTTTGCTCTTACAAAGTGGGAAAAGCAGGGGCATTGGAGTCAGTTTGTTTGCATCCTGGCTTCATTGCAAGAGTTTGTGCAAAATACTCAATCTCTCTGTTACTTAATTTCCTCATCTGTGAAATGGGGGAAAGTGTATTCTGATAATGTGTGCTAGTTTATAAGCTATTCATTTTGAATGTACCATTTGGAGACACAAAACATTGATGTTTTACTTGTTACAAAAATTAATCTTCACTTTAAATATGAACAGGAGGGAGTTTGTCCTTTTAAATCTTCCAAATGTTCTCTCATCCCTAATTATATAAACAAGCTTCTACACATTGTACTGTTTGCCACAGTTCTGCCTTAAATGCAGGTGATAAGGATTCATCTGGGTGTGGCGTGAATGGTGGGGTAAGGACATTTTTTTCTCTGAGTTTTCCAAGTCTCACTTAGTTTCTCAGCTCGGTGGTTAGTGAAAATGGTAAGCTAGGGGGGTGTTTTCCCTGAGAGACCCTTGTGCAGTAGCCGTCAGCATAACTCCCAGGTAATGTAGGGTGGGCCCACTGCAGACTTGCTCTAGAGGAAGCAGGGAGAAACATCCTGGGGGAATCTTCATTCTTATTTACTCATGATATTGTATAACCAAGTGAAAAAGAGATCTGATCATCTTTGGGGGCAAGAATTCTCCCCTCAAAGAGAAATTTGGGTGGAGAGGTGGAAGACAGGTTTAGGAAAAACTGCAGTAAGAACAGCCTGTGTATTCCCAATTCTATACATCTGATATTGGTTAATAGGTCGCCCACCATAATCATTTGATGATTCAGTTCCCACCTCCTTTCAGAGTGTTTGATAGCTTTTCTTTCTTTTTTTTTTTTTTTTTGAGACGGAGTCTCGCTCTGTCGCCCAGGCTGGAGTGCAGTGGTGTGATCTCAGCTCACTGCAAGCTCCGCCTCCCAGGTTCATGCCATTCTCCTGCCTCAGCCTCCCGAGTAGCCGGGACTACAGACGCCCGCCACCACGCCCAGCTAATTTTTTATATTTTTAGTAGAGACGGGGTTTCACTGTGTTAGCCAGGATGGTCTCGATCTCCTGACCTCGTGATCCTCCCGCCTCGGCCTCCCAAAGTGCTGGGATTACAGGCTTGAGCCACCGCGCCCGGCCTTGATAGCTTTTCATAAATATTTTTTCGTAGCTACATTAGTGTTTGTGTATTTTTTTTTTTTGAGGGAGTCTTGCTCTGTCCCCCAGGCTAGAGTGCAGTGGTGCGATCTCAGCTCACTGCAAGCTCTGCCTCCCAGGTTCACACCATTCTCCTGCCTCAGCCTCTTGAGTAGCTGGGACTACAGGTGCCCGCCACCACGCCAGGCTAATTTTTTGTATTTTTTGGTAGAGACGGGGTTTCACCATGTTAGCCAGGATGGTCTCGATCTCCTGATCTCATGATCCTCCCGCCTCGGCCTCCCAAAGTGCTGGGTTACAGGCATGAGCCACTGTGCCTGGCCTGTGTTTGTGTATTTTTTCAGCTGTCATCACTGCTGAAAAGAAAATAACAACATATTTTAAAACTGCTAGTGGTTTTTTTTTCCCCTTGGCAGAAGATTAATATTTATTGATCCCAAGACTAGTAGTGGTAGGACTTGAGCTCCAAAAGGTTTTGTTGCCTCTGAAACCTTGTTTTTGTTACAAGGTTACAGGTCTCATTTTTCCACAACTGCATTTTCTCACAGTGGCCTGTTCTCCTTCCTTTCACATGCAGCTGAGAATTCCTGCATCATGTGGGACTTTAGGTTTTTTAAGAGGTAGTCCAGAATAGTACAAAGAATGGTGATTTTGGAATCATAGGTATAGATTCAAAGAGTACTGTAAGCTGGGCTTGCTGGGGGGATTGATGGGGTAGGAGAGTAGTCCTTGATTATTGTACTGATCTCAGAACTTAGAACATTTTACTTAGAGAATCTGACCATTTATAAAAGATACAACCCTCTAGCAGGCTCATCATGCTTGAATGCCTACTAGGCACATCAACTTTTTTGCAGATCTGAGGGAAGGTGTGTGACAGGTGTGTCCAGCATATAAGTAAATAGAAAGCAGGATGTGAGACATTTTCTGCCTTCCTTCTCTGTGGGTAGAGGCTAAGCCTACAGAGATCTTTCCAATTAAGTATGGTTAAACAGGATAACCAGCCAACATGGGGTCTATGGAATAACATTACAGCATAAAGAAAAGGGAAAAGTATCATAAGTATTCAGATGGAAGATTTTCTGAGTATGCTTTCTGTAAGAAACAAAAAAATGTAGATGATATTTCCCATTTGCCCTTTAAAGAGCTCAATAAAATCAGGTTTATTATGAAATTAGAGAAGGAGACAGCAAGGAGAAAAGTAGGTTTTATGAGTCAGTGTTCAAGTAGAGAAGCAGAACCACTAAGAGAAATAATATGTTGAGATTTATTACAAGGAATGGCGCCTTTGATTGTGAGGGCTAATAAGTCCAAAATTTGTAGGGCAGGAGGGGGAGGGAAGATCATGGGCAAAAGTCAGTCCACCAACATGGGCCAAAATATCACGTGAGGAAGGGAAGATCGTGGGCAGGATGGAGCTCCACAGGCACAGGCTAGTGCTGTCCTCCACAGGTGGAATGGAATCCCTTCTCTCCAGGGGAAATCTAAGACCTGCTTTCAGAGCCTTCCAGTTGATGCAGTGGGATTATCCTGCCCACATAATCCAGGATAACCTCCCTTATTAGATCAACTGGTTAGGGGCTTTAATTACATCTGCGGCAAAGCTATTATTATGACGACAAGGATGGAAGGGGAGTGAGTTGGCAAAAATGATGCAGCCATCCACAATCCTAAAGCACAGTTAATTCACACTGGGGACAAAGGACTCAGTTGACACTGTAGGAAAGGCCATTAGTGATCTAAAAAAATGAAGTTGAGTAACTCAGATTACAGAGGAGTACTGATGCAGAGAAAAGGGAACAGAGATTGATCCTAAATGATTGAGCTCTGCAGTTTAAACACAAAAGGAAGAAAGCAGTGATGGAAGCTTTCATGCTCTTAAAACAACACAGACTAAAGGAAACTAAATTCATATATTCGTTTATCCCTTTGCACCTTGGCCTCTTCTACAAACCTAATTCACATGACCCCTGAATCAAATAAAAATGTGTGAGAAATTAATGGGAGAATACCTAAAACTGGGGGTATATGCATGCGGTGGACTACTCAGCAGTAAAAGAGAATGTACTACTGCTACATGCAGCAATGTAGATGAATCTCAAACATGCTCATCGAAGAAGCCTTACACAAGAGTGTATATTCTATAATTTCATCTATATGGAGTTGTAGAACAGGCAAAACTAATGTAGGTGAAAAATTCAGAACAATGGTTAACTCTGAATGAGGAGGAGAGGATTAACTGGAAAGTGGCACAAAAGAACTTTTTTGGATATTGGTAATTTTCTATATGTTGGTACAGATTTGGGTTCACGTGTATATGCATTTGTCAAAATTTATCAAATGGGTATACTATACCATATGTATTTCATTGTATATAAATCACCTAAAATTGTAACTACATATTGAATGCTAGTTAATTATATGCATGCTGAAGTATTTTGGGGTGAAGTGGACTGATATCTTCAAGTTATTTTGAAATGCATAAAAATAAGGTGGATCGATGGGGAAATAGAAGGAAGAATCGTTGGATATATATGTGATAAGGCAAATATAGAAAAACATTAATTGTAGGATCTAGGTTGTTGAGTGAGTGTCTGGCTATTTGCTGTGTGATTCTTTGAACTATGTGTATGTTGGAAAAGTTAATAAAATGTTGGAAGAAAACATAAAAAGGTGCTTTTTAAACCACATTAGTTTAGCTTGCTTGTATGATTGCTTGTTTTTGTATTTGTGGTTTTATTTCCTAGCAAAAAGAAACAGGGTGGAGTAATGGAAAAGGTTTTTTGTTTGTTTGTTTGTTTAATGCAAGACAGAAGAACTTTTGATTTTAAATCCTGATCTGACTGTGGGCAAGCTATTAATTCTATGAATCTGCCTTCATTTGCACAATGAAGATAACCAGACCTCATAGGGTTACTGAGAAGATAGAATGGAAAAAGTTGACATAAACTGCCTAGCCCAGTGCATGGTGCATAGCACTACATTGTTTTCTCCTAATCTGTTATCCTCAGAAAGGGTCTACACAAAAGCAGATGTGGTACCAGTTGCTAAGACTTTCAGAAATTGAGAGAGGATGTAGTGCAGAAGTCAGGGCATCAGCTTCTGAGCAGGCGTGTGGCTGTAGTATTGGGATTTCTACTGAAATGCTGAGCTGACTCAGAACAAATAACAAATCAGAAGAGTGGTTGTGGGAGGGTGGTAAAGAGACAGCTGCTTCAAGGTTGGAAATAACTAGCCTCTAAAGAATCAGGTATTTCCTAGTTAGTGCCTCATTAGCTCTTTGTTCTTGATAAGGATGTCAGAACAACTGTAAGGCAAAAGTTAGATGGTGCTATTTGATCTTTTGTGAGGATTCTATTTGTCCTTTTGTCTGGCCTTGCCATCTGCGCAGAGGTGTTGATTATTAAAATTTGTACCTGCACATGTAGTTGTTGCTTCTGGGGCATAATCTTTCCAGCCATGTGCCTCTGGTTAAACACCCTTTAAATCCTGAATTGGTCTATGCATATACAGTTCTGTAGGGAAAATATACAATATGAAAAATTGTGCTTCCAAGGAAATTTACCTTGGAAATAGGGATACCAGACTAATACACAGATGACATTTGGAAACAGTGTAATTCAGTGTAAAATCACAGCTTCAAAAATCTGTTCATTCCTTTGTGATATTCACGTATAGAAGCATTTGAGGACTTCACAGTAAGGAGAAAACCACTGGGGTCCAAAAAGTCCGAGTGCTTAGTGAAGAAGTTTAGACCCGTGGGAGGCCATGAAGAAAGAGATGATAGCTAAGCTGAGGCAGGCACAACTTCAGGGTGCCATTCCCAGCTCCCTGGAGTTAAGTGTAGTACAGCCTTGTGGGGCTATATGTGGCATCCCTGCAAAGACCTCAGCTCCTGTCATCCTAGGTTGGGCACTGAGGACTGCTGAAGGAAGAGAGTATTGCTAGTGAACCTTGAATGTAATTTGATGTCCAAGAGGACAGTGAAGAGAGCCGGGAAACAGAGAGGAACTGGGATTTAATGAATGTCTACTACAGCCAGTCATAATACTAGCATTTCATCTACCTCTTCTCATTTGTTACACCTCTGTGAGTGAGGTGTTGGTATCTCACTTTAGGGATGAAGAAAGTGAAGTTCAGAGATGTTACATGAATCACGCTTGGTCACACAGATGGTAAATGCCAGATTCGAACCCTGATTTGTCTAACTACAAGCCCTTCCTCATTCTGTCACTTTCAGAGTGACTCACTTTACTAAGAGGGAGCCTTTATTTCAAGTTAAATAAACGTTTTCCTTTCTGCAGTTATTAGTGGATTGTCTTAGAGTTAGTCTTCCTTATTGTGCCAGGAGATGCATTTCTTCCTCTCATTAAACAAATAAATAAAGCTGGCAGTGCCAGAAATTTGATTTGCCCTTATTGTGTAGGAATAAAAAGACCCATGTGTACTGAACAAGCAGAACCTGTTTTTAGTGTTTAACTAGCCAACTCCTGTCTGGGTGTTCTTTTAAAAAGTAATTATACCATTTATGATACACCCATTTAAGTCCCAACAGCTATTCCCTCTTGGACCTCATGTTGTGGGGCTGCATTTGCTTCTGTTATTATTATTTGAGTAAAAGAACGTGTGTATGGGTCGCCTTTATATGCCTGCCTGTGAAATTGGTTGAACAAACACTGTGTATTAAGTCAGAATATAGAAATGTCCTGATTCTCTTTTGCAGGACTGTGTTCGATTGAAGATTTTGCTTCCTATACTTTCTATGCTTTTGTAGCTTTGTTTTGCCTTTACTTGAGGGCTGATTCTACCTGGCCACAATAAAGCTGTTCACACTGTATGTTGTAGCTTAACTTTACAATCTTAGGCACTTGGAGGCAGTGGTGTTTACATAACTTGTCTTTATGTTTGTTTGTTTTTTGTTTTTATATTTTCCTCACTTACGTTCATTTTCTCCCCCATTTACAGATGCTGGCCCGCGAGAGACATTGATGCATTTTGCTGTGCGGCTGGGACTGCTGAGGTTGACGTGGTTCCTGTTGCAGAAGCCAGGTGGCCGCGGAGCTCTCAGTATCCACAACCAGGAAGGGGCGACGCCTGTGAGCTTGGCCTTGGAGCGAGGCTATCACAAGCTGCACCAGCTTCTAACCGAGTAAGTGCTCCTTCTGCCTTATTTCCCTCCTCTCATCCCCAGCCCCACCCCCGATTCATAGGAGTACCACCCACTTGGCATCTCATTGTGTGTTTGCCGCAAATTAAAACCTCAGCTCTGTATCTTGCCTTCTGCTGGAGGTTTGTAAGCTTGCTCCTGCTAACCACTTCATTGTCTGAGAGAGAAACGTAAGTCGTGTTAACCATTTTCTCTCTCGTCTGCCTGCCTGCCTTCTTCAATTCTTATCTCTTATATTTTACTATTTTACTCAAAAGTCAGAATGAGCCTTGTCTGTGGAGGTAGCATAACATTACCAATGTATACAGTTTATCCTGGTTTAGTACAAGAGGAAACAGATTTCCTATATCATATATTTTTTTCTGGTATGTCTTTAAGACTTGAAAGAGTTAATTAGAAACCAGTACTTCCATATTATAATTGCATACAGAAAATATTGTAAACAATTAAGTTTTGGATTGAATGTAATTTCTGTGAATAAAATTTGAGAGCAGTGGTTTCTTCATATGAACAGCAATAAAAAGCAACTGAATTGTCCTGGAAATGTGCAGTAGGAAATCCTGTCTGTTTTTGGGCTCAATTATTATATGTCCTGACTCTTTAAAGAGTTCTCTAGAGGAAGGTTGTTAGTCAAAACATTTGAAGAGCGCTCTTTTATTCTTGTATAAATAAAGAAATAAACACACTAGAGCAGCCAAAAGTTTTTATTGGAATGTTTATATAAAGAAGTTTCAAGAATAGTTTCTGTTGTTTAATACATTTTTATTAGTTTTGTGGTTATCATCATTATCTTTTCCACCACATTATCTGAACAAGTATAAACCCATTGGATCTATGTTCTTTAGCAATTGAGGGACCTGTGCAAATTGAGTCAGTATTAGCAAATTCTCAGATATTTTGCTCATGCCAGATTTAATTTAGTTGTGCTTTATGTTTTACCATTTTTAACTGTGTATATAGTCTGGAAGGACCAAAAAGAGACCTCAGAATGTAGTGCTACTTACGGTTATGTAAACAGCTTTTTCTTGATTCACTTGCCAGGCTTATACCTTTCCCCATCACGCTAGACAGACAGTTCTTTGCAGAAAGCTTTCTGATGGGTGCTACAGATACAGTGGTGGTAGGAGGGGCACTTATCTCAAATGAGCTTTGGATACCTGAGCTCTCCTAAGACAGTATTCCAGGGAGTGATACATTCTACTCCTTCACACTTCCCATCTGGCCAATGATTGGATTCATTCTACGGTTAGCCTCATGGCCTCAGGAAGAGAGGCCTTGTTTCAGAAGTTGAAACAGTTAACTCTGCATAACTATTGTGAAGTTCAAATGCATTTCCTCTAAATTTGATTTTTGCTGGGAAGCAGAGTTGGTTAAGGACTGCCATCCAAATGGGGAAATAAAGTGATTACAACAGCTTCATTATATCCTTGGAGGGGATGTCACAAGACTGTTATTGCAGCACAGCTTTAAGGAAACTAGAGTGTGTTTGTTCTTTGACTTTTTTTTGCTTACTTTAAAAGTACTACTTCTGTTACATGTGGGAAAGCCACTTACCTCCTTTTGAAGGGAGATTGGTAAGGGAAAACCAACCTGAGAAATCACCAATAGAGGACCCTGATAGGAGAGGATGAGCACCTTGCTGCAGATCTAGCTCTTAACTTGAATTCTGGGATGTTACTGTTGTGAAGCTTAGAAAAAGTTCTGAGTCATAATTAGCGATTAAAAAATGGAAAGGGGGCGATTGTCCCAAATCACTCAGTGTGAGAGTGATTCTAGTAGAATTTGGTAGAATTTCAGTTGTTAAAGAATCAAGAATGATCATTTTGTTATTGGTTTTCTTTTCTCCTTTCCTTCCCCTTTCTTTTCCTATATACATAACGTAAAAATGGTTAAAATAGTAAATTTTAGGGACAGCATTCAGTAGCATTCAGTACCATCACAACACTCACAGAGTTACGTAACCATCACCACTATTATTTCCAGAACTTTGTCATCACCCAAACTGAACTTCCTTTTCTCCAGCCCCTGATAACCTCTGTTCTCCTTTCTGTCTCTAAGAATTTGCCCATTCTAGGTACCTCATATAAGTGAAATCATGCAACATTTGTCTTTCTGTGTCTGTCTTTTACATAGCTAATGTCCTCAAGGTTCACCCATGTTGTAACGTGTCAGAAAAACAATACGTACTTCAAAATTGCTAAAAAAGAATGTATTTCTCACCACAAAAAAATAAGTAGCTGAGATGATGGATATGTTACTTAGGTTGATTTTATCTTTCTATGGTATATACATAGATTAAAACATCACACTGTACCCCATAAATAAATTTATATAATTGTTGTTACCAAACACACACACACACACACACACACACACACACACACACAGCCAAAAGTGTAAACAACCTAGATGTCCATCACAGATAAATGGACAATGTGGTATATTCATATAACGGAATACTACAGCCTTAAAAAGAAAAGATCATCTTTAACAGATGAAACTGAGATCCAGAGAGACAAAGTGGTTGGATGAAGATAACAAGGTGGTATGACCAGAAATAGAAGCCAAAAGCTGTCCAGAGCTCTTTCCTTCCACTCCTGGGATTCTTAAAAAGTGGCCCAAGAATAGACTTCATGGGGTCTGTATCTCTTGAAATTATAAAGGTTTATGCACATGTTTTTCTGAATAAAGCATTTGTTGGTGAGATTCACGAAGGGGTTTGTAGAAAGTTAAGAATCGCCACAATGTATGATGCTATCTTTCTTTTTTTTTTTTTTTTCTTTTCTTTGAGATGGAGTCTTGCTCTGTAGCCCAGGCTGGAGTGCAGTGGCACGATCTTGTCTCACTGCAGCCTCTGCCTCCCAGGCTCAAGCAATTCTTCTGCCTCAGCCTCCTGAGTAGCTGGGATTACAGGCATGCGCCACCATGTCCGGCTAATTTTTGTATTTTTAGTAGAGACGGGGTTTCACCATGTTGGTCAGGCTGGTCTCGAACTTCTGACCTCGTGATCCACCCACCTCGGCCTCCCAAAGTGCTGGGATTACAGGCGTGAGCCACCGCGCCCAGCCATGATGCTATCTTTCTAATAGTTTGGGTATCTTCTTCCCCACCCTGCTTTTTAAAAATGAAATTGTCCACATATAAGCCGGCCTCTTTTATTGCCTCTTTTCAGTTAGTATGAAATTGAAGTATGGCTATGTATATTTTACATTTATTGAATAACTAGTTGCATTCTACACTTTACTGAAAAGTCAAGCTTATTTAACCCCATTTATAGCCCTTCCCAAGTACATTTGTTGTTTTAATTCCTTGGTGCTTTACCTTGTTTTTTGCTTTTTAATTTTTAAGTGGGGTGTGGGGAGCCTTGTGCTGGTTAGGGCCCAAGTTCTTTTTGTGTTTCTTTGTTCAAGGCTTATTTTGATTGCCAGTCTATTTTGATAAAGCAAGTCTTACTTCTGCGAAAATTATGATTAGCCATTCTTGGACATATAAGGATTCTCTAAGACCTATCCCTTTAGAAAACACTTGAACTTTATTTTAAATCCTACCAGATAGTAATAACTACTCAGGACATTTTTTTTACAGTTTCCCTTTTTTGTAACCCATGATTGTTAACTTTCACTTTGTTCAGTGTTAGGGAAGGCAGAGCTTTTGTTGACTTGCTGTTTCACTTTAGCTTATATTTAGATCTTACATTATGAATATGAATGCATTTGTGATCTGAAAATTCATCTTAAATACATTGTATTTAAGTTTCACTCTAAGTAAATGAAAGAATTCATGTAGGGAGCATAACTCAGTGATTGACATATATGTTATCTCTTATTTCCCTTTCTTTAATTTTCTGTCTTGCCTGAGAAATCTTAGCCCCAGAAGAGTACCCAAAACATGTAGGCCTACTTTTCCTTTAGTTGGACAATCATCTCCTCTGATTTGAAGACCCCACCCATGGTCACCTAACTAGTTAGTAATGGAGAGAATAGGTAAAGACCCCAGTTTGCAGGCTCTTGGTGTCATGAATGCTAGGAAGTGACAATATCAGATGAGCGTGGCATTGTAGTTATCTAAGAAGAAAATATTAGAGCCAGATGTTATTGGATCTGGCTGATCTCTTACTCACACATCTCAAAGTAGAAATCTTGGGACTTGGATCACCCATGTTGGGGGTATGAGGGAGCTTGAGAGTAAGAGGAGGCTCCAGCTAGTGACTAGGTGTGCAAACTTGGAAGTCAAACCTAGGTTTGCATTTTGGCTCTGCCATTTGCAAACTTTCCTTGCTAAGCCTTGATTTCTTCATCTCATAAATAAAGGATATTGCTATTTACTTCCTGGATGATAACCCAGCCTTTAGTGTATGCAATATGAAAAATTAGGGCTTATTTGTCATACAGATTCTGGTTATTTTTGTGGAGCAAATAAAGGTGCATAAATATTTCTTCTTGGAGAAAGATGGTAGTATAGTATGGTAGAACTGCTTACGGATTAAAAGCTTAATAAAAATCTAAGCTTGCCTACTTAGTAGTTAGTGTGACTTGGAAAATGTCACCTATCCACTGAGTCTCATGTTTCCCCTCTCTTAATGATAATACCTGTTCTGCCTACATCACAAGGTTATTTTAACTAAAAAAAGATTGGTGCAAATACTTTGTTAAACTCTAAGATACTCTATTTGAACATTTCTTATATATTAATAATAATAATGACATCAGTAAAATTAGAGTTAACTGATCAATGAAACTCAAATTCCAGTTGATCGGTCTACCAGATATCTTGTTTTGTAATATTTCTTGTAGTTCTCTGTGAATTAAAGTTAGTAGAGAGATTGGAGAATTGTAGTTAGACTGGCTGGTTTTGAATCCAGGGTCTACTTCTGTGAAACTGTATTATTTATCTTGGGTGATTCACTTAACCTCTCCAAACCTCAGTGCCTTTTTTTTTTTTTTTTTTGGTCTCACAAGAAGAAGAAGAGGACTGTCTTCAATGGGTTGCTTTGAGAAATAAACAATTCATGTAGAGAGCATAACTCAGTGATTGACATAAATGTTACCCCCATTTCCCTTTCTTTAATTTTCTTTTCCTTCTAATGCCTATGTCAGTTTTTCATACTTCAGGGAAATTTTACCAGAATCTTGAAGTATTTTAAGCATCATTTGAATGTCCCTACTTGATGTAGGACTTGATGTAGGGACTTGATGTAGGTTGGAAATTATTCCCTAGTGTAATAGATACTACTTTAAATAAAATTAGTTTGGCCCTTTGATACATGCTGTGATGTTGATGCCTGTAGATTAATGGAACAAGGAATTCTAGATGGATAAAAAATCATTTACAGTCCTTCCACCCTTATAAGAAGAGTATTTATTTTAAGAATTTCAACTCTGGAGTGGTGGCATACAAGTGCTGAAATATTTCAGTTGCCATAAGAGCCAGTTTAAACATATTTGTCCTCATAAATGTCATCTTATTTTTAGTATCAGCTGAACAAATCTTCATTTATTGAATGCCTATACTGCACTAGAAACCATGGTTGGTACATTACAGATATTGTTTCATTTCAACCTTATATCAACCTCGTGAAATAGGCATTATCTGTGTTTTGCGGGAGAAATATGGAGGCTCAGATAATTAAAGTAACTAGTCCAAGGCTATATAGAAAATTGTAGAGCTACTGTTACACAGACAGCTGTGGAATGCCAAGGCCCATATTCTTCCCTCTACAAAAATTTGGCAGAGAGAAAGAAGAGACTCAGGACGAGGCTACTAGGGTACAGTATTAAATGACTCTTAAATGTAAAGGGTTATATGGTTTCTAGTCTATATGTTTTTTGAGGAAAACAAGGTTCTTACTATAATAACTGTACATTTATATTACCCATTATATGACTTTTAAAGTATGGTTGATTACATTTAAGCTACCATTTTACATATGGTAAGTATTGTCATCTCTGATTGATTGATTGATTGAGACAGACTATTGCTGTCACCCAGGCTGGAGTGCAGTGGCATGATTCCGGCTCACTGCAGCCTCCACCTCCCAGGTTCAAGTGATTCTCCTGCCTTAGCCTCCCGAGTATCTGGGATTACAGGTGCACGCCACCACGCCCGGCTTATTTTTGAATTTTTAGTAGAGACGGGGTTTCACCGTGTCGGTCAGGCTGGTCTCGATTTCGTGACCTCGTGATCCGCCTGCCTTGGCCTCCCAAAGTGCTGGGATTACAGACGTGAGCCACTGCACCTGGCCATCTCTGTTTTATAATTGAGGAAACTGAGGCCAGAGAGGTAAAGTGACTTGCCCAAGGTCTCGGTTCACAAGGTTGCAAAGTAACAGAACCTAAAGTGCACCGATCTGTCCAGATTGAGGGGACACATGTGAATGTTGAACACAGACCCAGCCTGACAAGCTCTAGGTACTCAGTCATGATTTACTGTAGTGGGCACTATTGGCCCCTCTCAAAGGGTTTGTGCCTGTAAGCTCTCAAGTCCTTCTTACAAGACACTTGCGCTTGAAACCTAGGTGTAGGGTTAGGTGGTGGAGTGACTACTCAAGAATACATATTTCACAATGGAACCAAGTGCTATTGAGCAAGATGTTCTGCCAACATAGTAATTTTGCCCTTTTAGATTCCTCTTCAGGTACTTGACAAGTGGGTCCTCAGTAGCCCATCTGGTGCAAAACAAGTTTGGAGACTTTGCTTTTGCATAGTAAAGCAAAAGATGAAACAAATGTACAGACATACCTTAAAAATAATAACCAGAGAGGCAGGATTTGGGATAACTTGACATCTGGCCAAATTCCCATTCATCAGTCTGTCCATCCCTTTGTATCTGACTTCCTTTGTCATTGTGTGATCTAGGTCTTTGTGTCTTGGTAAAGATAAGGTTGTAGAACTGAGTGGAAACTAGAGAATGGGGGAGGAGACTAACATTTATTGAATATTGAATACCTGCTTTGTATTATGCACAGTACTACCTTGGTGCTTTACTTGCGTTTTCATTTAAAACCCCTCAGCAAACCTCGGGGAGGCTAAAGCAGCTTGTCCAAGGCCGTATAGTTAGTCGCTCTTTTCACAACCTGTCTTTAGGTTGTATTTGGATTTATTCATAGAATTTTGTGAGGAGGCATGTTTGGTAGCATTTTCAGGCTTTTAACCTAATTAATTTATGATGGTTAATAACTCTGGTTCTCAGTGCCTTTTTTTCCCCCTAAGTTTTCAGCTGGACAACTTTAAGCATTTTGACATTTTGTATTTTTTAAACCATTTAACTAGTAATCTCAGGATTGCCTATCTGGCAACATGCTAGAAAATTGCAAAATGTACTTTCTGAAGATAATATTGTACTTATAGAGCAATTTATTGTATTCGTTGCTAGGTATTTTGTGTAAATTCTCATATCTTTATCCTCTCCCCAGCCCTTTGAAGGTGGGCGTTTTATCTCCATTGCACAAGGAAATGTAATAGCCATAGCTGGTAAGTGATGGAGGAATAATTTGAACCAGGTTGTAACTCCAAGTCCTGTGAACTTTTACAAACTCCCTTGGGCTTTCTAAGAAGATGGGTAGGAATTTAAAGTTGGTTGGAATCACAGAGCCATTCCAAGCATCTTGTGTTTCTATAAACTTCTTTTCTCTCCCTGCAGAATGACACATATGTACTGAGCAAGGTATGTGTTTGTTCTTGGTTGCCGTATAACATTTAGACTTCAGAGTGGTCAGAGTTGTGAAATTACACTACTTGATCTGTGGTAACAAATTATCTATGGCAACAGCATGTGATTTGTTTCTGACTTCACTTCAGGCTTAAGTGGAAGAAAATACAGACCTGGAGTATAGGGCTTGATAGTCAGGTGTGAGAAAATGAAGGATCAGTTGATAGCACCTTCTGCTCTTAAAAGCTACATGTGATTTTTACTTGGTCAATTCTAAAGTTTTCTTAAACGCATACCAATAGAAAGAATGACTTGAACATTTTACCTGCATTTATTATTGGCAGAAATAGAAGTGATTGGGGAAACAAGGAAAGTGATTAGAGAAACAAGAAAAAAACTAGGTGTGTTGAATAAACATTTTCACTAAAACCATTATTTGGCTGGAGCAGAATATCACCAGCATAGAATGAAGTTACGCGATACAAGAATAAATATGAGGTAGTAAAAAAATACAACCAATCCTATGCATTTATTAATATCTGCCTGTTCTGTTTTGAAAGTTTAACCTTATAGTAGGAGAACAGTTTCTCAGCATTACCAACTTCTAGATTGTTCTTGATTCATTAAACAGCATATACAACTTGTCCTGGCACATCAGTAAGACCTCTATCTAGTTGAACTACAGACAGTTATAATTCAGGGAAGTTTTTCAGTAACATGTTCTAGAAGGAATTTTGTGTTAGGATTCTGGATTTAATGAATCACAAAAATCTTTTAGCTGCTGAAATTGGTTATCATTGTATAATAATCATTTTGACAAGGTTTTGTTTAAATCTTTAATGTCCATAGACATAAATAAGGCGCAGTATTCTTAAGTATTCTTCTTAAAGCCTATTTTGTTTTATTAATGAAAACAAAATGTATTTGAGGTACCTGATATTTTTCCTAACACTTTTAAAAATACATTTATATCAGGATTGAGGATAATTTATCATCGTTTTTTTGGCCTTTTTTTTTTTTTTTTTGAGACGGAGTCTCGTTCTGTCACCCAGGCTGAAGTGCAGTGGTGCGATCTCAGCTCACTGCAACCTCCGCCTCCCGGGTTCAAGTGATTCTTTTGCCTCAGCCTCCTGAGTGGCTGGAACTACAGGCGTGTGCCACCATGCCCGGCTAATTTTTTTGTATGTTTTTTCACCGTGTTAGCCAGGATGGATTTATCATAGTTTTTATACATGATTTTGGCCATTTTTTCTTACAAAATTTGGAGATGGCAATGTTGACATTCTGCTCTTAATTTTATTCTTATGTGAATGATTTTCAAATTGAACTTACCCTAGAAAGACACATGGCCTAAATGGAATATCTACAATTTAAAAAATTGTTTTATTTAATGTTTAGTGTTCTGAACACTAGTTAATAAAAAGTTAAATCTAGAGTTTTAATATAATCTAACATCTGTAATTCTTTTTTTTTTTTTTTTTTGGAGACGGAGTTTCGCTCTTTTTGCCCAATTTGGAGTGCAATGGCGCGATCTCAGCTCACTGCAACCTCCACCTCCCAGATGCAAACAATTCTCCTGCCTTGGCCTCCTGAGTAGCTGGGATTACGGGCACTCGCCACCATGCCCAGCCAATTTTTTGTAGTTTTAGTAGAAACAGGGTTTCACCATATTAACCAGGCTGGTCTTGAACTCCTGACCTCAGGTGATCCGCCTGCCTCGGCCTCCCAAAGTGCTGGGATTACAGGCATGAGCCACCGTGCCTGGCCTAACATCTGTAATTCTTATACCATTTAAATTTTAATAAATATTTGTTGGCTTAATAAAGATAAAATGTTCTTCCTAAGGTTATCTAGCCGGTGCACTATCTCTTAATATTCATTTTAACTGTCAAACTATTTATCCATTTGAAAACTCTTTAGTTGTTTTTGCATATGACATTAACAGTTTCTATAGTCACTGATTATTGTACCATTTTATTCTTATAGTACATATTTTATGCTTTAACTGGCCAATAGAATTTCTGCATAAAAAGCACATAAGGAGATTTGTACTTTAAATCAGGGGTCCCCACCGCCTAGGCTACAGACTGGTACTGGTCCATGGACTGTTAGGACCCAGGTTGCACAGCAAGAGGTGAGTGTCAGGCGGGCGAGCGAGCATTACCACCTGAGCTTGCCTACTGTCCAGTCAGTGGTGACATTAGATTCTCATAGGAGTGGAAACCGTATCGTGAACTGCATATGTGAGGGATCTAGGTTGCATGCTTCTTATGAGAATCTAATGCCTGATGATCTGAGGTGGAACAGTTTCATCCCAGAACCATTCCATACCCCGCCCCCTCATCTGTGGAAAAATTGCCTTCCGTGAAACTGGTCCTTGGTGCGAAAAATGCTGGGGACCGCTGGTTTAGATTATGTAGAGAATGCTTACATAGTACTCTTTATTTTAATAGTATTTCTTGTATTGGTGGTGCTGCCTCACTGATAGTGATGGTAGCCCTGTAATCACTTAATCCTTGTTCAGCAGGCATCCATCTCTTTGGCCTTAAAAATGGCAAAGCTGAACTTGGTGTGTCCCTATTGTTTAACATCTCTTATAGGCCTCAGTTTCTTCATCTACAAAATAGGGAAAAATAATATGTACCTCATAGATCTGTTAGGATTAAACAAGAACATGTTTATAAAGTTCTTAGGAGCTTAGATATCTCTTTATTTGGAGAGCTAGGAAGGACAATTCATTGGAAATATTTCAGGTGCGTATGAATATGATATCTCTTTTAACCACCATTCAGTTTCTGACTTACTGTTTCCTAGTCAGCCTCACCCCACAATTGTAACTATCTCTTAACCTAGTGGGGAAACCAAGCCCCATTTTCCTTACAGAATTTTGGAGGGTAAATTGTGGTAGGTGTTGTAGGGGTAGTTGCTTGACACTTACCCCACAAGCAGGCTTCCCTTACTTTTTTTTCTTTTTTTTTTAAGTCTAATACTCAGAAGTTGCCTTCTTTTTTGGTTCATTAGAATTATACCAGCCCTCTAGCATACCACACAGTCACAATATATCAATCGTTTCGGGTGTCCAGACAGCTAACATTTTGAATTCACATTCATTTAATCCTCATGACAGATTTAGTATTTTCACTTTACAGATGAGGAAATTGAAGCGCAGAGAAATTTAAGTAGTCCAAGATCACAAAGATGGTAAGGTGAGAGTAAGGAATCAAACCAACTCTGTCTGACTTTCCAGCTTATGCTCTAACAATTACCTTATAAAACTTTTTTTGTTTAAAAGCACAAAATTTAGAGCAAATTACTCATAGACAGTAGTTGCTTCAAGGATGTGCCTTCTTTTTCTTTGCACTCTCCTTATGCTAATTATTAAGGCGAGAGTGGCAGTTCTATGTTCCCTCCCCCCCAAAAAAAGGAAGGAAAAGAGGAAAACTAAGTTTCAGTGCTAAAATATCTTGTGGCCCTGGGTATGCAGGATTGCATATCTGACCATAACTAGCCTAGCAGCGAGTTCCCTACGGATAGCTAAAATACATCATTTTGAGGTGGATTAGCTACCCCCCACCCCCTACCCCTTTCTGGCATTTAGCTTCTCCAGCTCCATTTGAGTAGAGTTGTGGTTGGGTTTGTAGAACTCATTAAGGTTGGACACTATTATGGTGATGTGGTTTTGAGAAGATATTGCAATAGCCCTCAGAAAAGGAACTAGATGCTGCAGTTCCTTGTCAGAAGTAAACTTGGAGCGAAACACGCCTTTAGGAGGGGTAACCAGGCTGCTTTCCTCTATTTTTAAAGCTGTAGTATGAAGCCAAAACTAAAAGAGGATGGGCTTGCGATATTCGGGGTGCTTGGGCAGCCATGTGTGAGTATCAGCTTCCAGACCAATGCTTTGTTAATCTTCATTGTTTATTCTCTGACATTTTCTCTGGCTTTTTGCTGTAACTCAACCTGAAGCATCATTGAACTTCCCTGAAGGACTTGTGTTGTTAGGATCAGAAAAGTGTTCTTCTCTGCAGTTAAGTTAATTTGACTGGGTTTTCTATGTATGTTAGCATAAAACCCCATTGTTTTCTTGCGCATGCTAGGCAAGGTAAGAAGGCAGAGACTGATTGGTTGTTGATTATTGCATGGCAGGTAGAATGCTAGAAAATTAGTTGAAACTCATCCTGGGCTTATTGAATTTTGTTGTATCATATACATAAACTGTGGACACTTGGTTTGGATGCTGTAACCTTATCTCTGAGAAATGGCTTCTAATTTGTGTTATTTTGCATTTGAAAAACTTGCTATGGATTTTATAAAACTTATAACAAAAACCCTAATATACTTTATTAGCTTCTGATAAATATTACATCAGACATCCAGTTAGTATAATTTGAATGTGGTTTGAAACTTTTTTAGAGGTAGGTTTCGTTGTGGGTAGTGGAAGGAGGCACATAAGTTTTAGAGTTAGCTCTGAGTACAGATTGTGGCCGTTTCACTTACAGCTGTGAATTCTTGGGGAAATTATTCATTAAGTCTCAGTTTCCACACATGCAACATGGAAATACACTGATACCTGCCTCAGAGTTTTTGTGAGGATTAAAAGTAAATAATAAACCAACAACATAGTCATTTTATTATCGCTATCAAATATGTACCGTACATAATTTTATGTGCTATACTTTTATATGACTGGCAGCACAGTAGGTTTGCTTTCACCAGTATCACTGCAGATATGCAGTGCATTACAACATTATGACAGCCGTAACATCATTGAGTGATAGGAATTTTCCAGCTGCATTATAATCTTACTGGACCATCATTCCATATATGGTCTATCATAGACTGAAACATGGCTAAGTGGCACATGACTGTAGTAAATATTGTTAGCATCCTTCTTTTGTTTTGTCATTTTTGCCTTCCTCCCCCTAGTGTTTTCTCACCCCTCCAAGAATAAAATCCTAGTTCCTACCAGGACTCACAAAGCTCTGTGAAATCTGAACCTGGTGCAACTCTTGAGACTTCATTTCATAACATTTTTCTCATTCCCATAGCTCTGTCTGCACAGCTACACTGGCTGTAACCTCCCTGGCCAGCTCATTGCCACCTCAGGATCTTTGTACTTGCTGTACACATTGCCTGATGTTCTTGTTCCCTAACTCTGCATGCTGGCTCTTTCATACCACTCAGGTCAGTTGTTAGGTCACCTCCTCAGAAAGCTCTTCAGAAGAAGCCGCCATTTCCAGTCGAAGACATTTTCTACCATAAGCACCTGTTTTATTTTCCTTAAGTGAAGATTTGGATTTGCGTTTTAGAATACATACAGAGTAAATAAAAATTCTCTACACAATTTTGCTGTAAACGTCTTCTGGGATTTTTGTGTATACACTTCCTTTTAGAGAATATGTGCATTTGAAGTGGTTTTGTTGTTTAAGGTGTGAGTGTTCAGTCGAATACCTCTTAGTGCCATTTTAAAATGTGATCTAAAGAAACATTTTGCTTTTATCTTTTCTTTCTGCTCATTAATCCACATAAATTACTACACTAAATTGATTTAGAATAAACAGATTGCTTGGAATTAATTTTAAAATTTATTTTTTAGCCCTCATTTCAGCCCTTAGCTCTGTGAAGCCTTGGTTGATTTGCCTAAACGCTATCTATCTGCAGAACCTTGGCCTTGTTACTTGGAAGATTAAATAAGATATTTATGATGAAAATGCTCTGAAAAACTGAATACAGCTTTTTACAATCGTTTTATATTTATTATGTACTGTGATTTGTTCCTGATATTTCACATTTGATTCAGGGAAATCATTTCAACAAATTATAGAGCTTCTTTTGTTGTCGTTTTTGTTAGGTGTGGTTTTTTTTGTGTTTTGTTGTTTGTTTTGAGATAAGGTCTCATTCTGTTGCCCAGGTTGGAGTGCAGTGGCCCAGTCATGGCTCACTGTAGCCTCGACATCCTACCTCAACTTCCGCAGTAGCTGAGACTACAGGCACGCACCACCACTAACTAACGCACCTGGCTAACTTTTGAAAATTTTGTGTAGAGATGAGGTCTTGTATGTTGCCCAGGCTGATCTCAAACTCCTGGACTCAAGTGATTTGCCTGCCTCAGCCTCCTAAAATGCTGGATTACAGGCATGAGCCCCCATGCCCACACGACAGAACCTCTTTAGAACATGACTGTTAAAGCTGATATTTGGATACTTTTGATTTTAATAGCAATAACAACAATAATAAAGACTGGGTGGGACTGAACTTTTAAAATACTCTTGCTATTGTTCAGTTGGTTTTCAGCTTTGCTCAGGCCTATATGAAGTTTACCTTTGGGAGAAAATGAAACCTTGTCCAATGGGTCTATAGCTTATACCACATGCCGTATTCCTATCTATGCTATGCCTCTTATCTCTTCTGCCAGTAGTTTTTCTCCCCAGAATCTGTGCACATTAAATTTCATTTTTCCAGTAGTTCATTTTTAGAATCTTTGCTTCAGTGATGAATTGAAAAGTTAAAAAAAATCTGATCGCTTGTAAGTAATTTGAGAAGTTCTCTGACCCACCTTACCTGTTTATTGTGCAGTGCTATTATGAGGGAGAGTAAATCAATGTTATATGTTTCTGCAAAAGCAGCAAATTACAGGAGAAACATGAGAAAAGTCACATCTAGTTTGTCCAAAAGACATTATCTCTTTATGAGGACCTATTTTATTAATGTAACTGTTTTTAAATAGGATTAATCAACTTTAATTATAACTTATGAAAAGTGCCGAATCAGGTCAGTGGGCTATATAAAAATACGCAAGGTCATTAGAAGCTTATTGGACTTGTTGAGTATGGGTTCTTTTCTTGAATTTTAGTGATGATAACCTCACACATAGTTAAGTGAACTTCGTGCCTGAAGATGGGGGTCCTGCCTAGACAAATGAGCAAAAATGTGTCTTTTTTCCTGAACTGGAAAAGCTAGTTTACAGAGTGATGACTTCTTTGTGATTAAAGTTACCAGTTTCTGTAAGTATGGAACACATCGCTTCTCCATTAAGTTGGAAGCTTGTTAATCAGCTGATTTTAACGTTCACCATTACACTGGAGTTTTGGGTTCATATTTAGTTCTTAATCTTTCTATCATGTTTAAGTTTCTCATGATCTTCAGAAATAAAACTGGAAGAAATGGATGTGCATTCCTTTCTCTCCTGATTCTGTTATTTAAATTGGTAATCCTACAGGGTTTCTGTTTGATTTTGTTTTGTGTTTTTGCCCCACGAGAAAGCTAAAGAAACTTTTTGACATTTTAAAGATGAGTGTGTACTCCTCCCTTCCCTTTCCCCTCCCTCCTCCTCCTCCCTCCCTTTGCCGTCCCCTCCCCCTCATTTCTTGGAAATTTGACTTTTTTTTCTGTCATCGGTTTGAAATTACTTTATTCAGTTATATCATTCTTTCCAAGTTTCAGCTTATTTTGTAAGCAATTCTCTTTTTTCCTGTTCTCATTACCACTGTTGTTGATCTTGGTCAACAGTGGTAATGTTCTCGCTTTGAAAATAATTTTCAGGGGCCTGTGTTTCTCAGCCTCACTAAGTGGCGTGAAGCACTGGTTAAACAGAAGACAGTTAAGTAGCTAGTAAGCCAATAACTGTCATGGAATAGACAGAGACAACACAAGTTCTGACATAGATCAACCTAGTTTGTGTATAAATACAAATTTAAATAATATTTAAATAGAAATCTCTATTTCAGTGGTCCCCAATTTTTTTTGGCACCAGGGACTGGTTTTGTGGAAGACAGTTTTTTCATGGACCTGTGGGAGGAGGGGATGTGATGGTTGAGGGGATGATTCAAGCGCATTACATTTATCATGCACTTTATTTCTGTTATTACTGCACTGTAATATATAATGAAATAATTATACAACTCACCATAATGTAGAGTTAGTGGGAGCCCTGAGCTTGTTTTCCTGCAGCTAAACAGTCCCATCAGGGGGTGATGGGAGACAGTGACAGATCATCAAACATTAGATTCACATAAGGAGCCTAGATCCCTCACATACGCAGTTCACGATAGGGTTCACGCTCCTGTGAGAATCTAGTGCCACCGTTGATCCGACAGGAGGCGGAATTCAGGTGGTAATGCAAGCAGTGGGGAGCAGCTGTAAATACAGATGAAGCTTCACTCTCTAGCCTGCACTTACTTCCTACTGTGTGGCCTAACACGCCATAGACTGGTACTGGTTTGTGGCATGGGAGTTGGGGACCCCTGCTTTATTTAATCACTTATAACTTATAATCACTTAGATGCTCTAAGTCATCTGGGGGGTGAGAAGGTTGGAAAAGAAAAAGTACATTAGTGAGTGAGTAAAGATTATCTGGGATTGTTTCTTAGATGAGGATCTATTTGATGTTGGTGTTGGTCTACTGTGAACTAAATATAACTGCATTGGAGCCTAAGCGCAGATGTCTGCGTCATGGTTTATTACTCCTGTGTTCGTTTCAAGGAGCTCCTGTGATACCTGCTGTCTCCACCTAAAAAAAAAAAAAAAAAAAAAAAAAAAAACAGTAAAAATAAAATAATCAATTAATTCTTCCTCTTGCTGGTCTGTCACTCAGTCTAGAGTGCTGTGGTGAGACCATAGCTCACTGCAGCCTTGACCACTCGCCTCAGCCTCCCATGTAGCTAGGACTACAGGTGTGCACCACCAGGCCGGGCTAATTTTTTTTTGCAAAGAGTGGGGGTGGTCTCCCTGTTTTGCCCAGCCTGGTCTTGAACTCTTAGCCTCAAGCAATCTTCTCACCTCAGCCTCCCAAAGTGCTGGGAACACAGGTGTGAGTCACTGCACCCAGCCTATTTATTTATTTTTAATAATTAAGTTGTACATAATAATATTCATGATGCACCTGCATAAGACAGGTTTATTTTATTATCAGATATTACCTCCCATATTGTATGGAATTTTTAATAACAGTTGTAGCTGATGCTCCATTTTGTAGTCTGATAGTTTCACTTTGTCATATTTTTATCTATTTCTATGGTCTTTATAAATATTTTTGAGGCCCTCTTTTATTATGAGTAAATTATTCAACTAATATTGAATATCAATTTCTGATTTTTAAAAAAATTAAAACTAGTGAGTGCTAGAGTGAGCCTTATCTTTTACCTACTGATTTTTTGCTTCTGTTAAATTATTTCCTTAGGCTAAATTTCAAGGAATTGTATAATTAGGTCAAAGGAAATGATGTTTGCAACTCCCATATTCATTGCAATGTGGCCAGTATTAACTCTGCTTTTCTTTTTTAAGTAACTGCCACCTGTAGGTTACTTTAATGCAGTGTTTTACAACCTTGGCTGCACATTAAAGTCTCTGCAGGAGCTTTAAAAAACACTCATGCCTGAGGACCACCTCTAGAGATTTTGATTTGATAGATGTGATATGCCATCTGGATGTAAGGATTTTTTTTTTTTTTTTTTTTTTTTTAAGACGGAGTTTGACTCGCCGCCCAGGCTGGAGTGCAACGGCGCAATCTCGGCTCACTGCAACCTCCGCCCCCCAGGTTCAAGTGATTCTCCTGCCTCAGCCTCCCAAGTAGCTGGGATTACAGGCGCCCGCCACCACACCTGGCTAATTTTTGTATTTTTAGTAGAGACGGGGTTTCACCGCATTGGCCAGGCTGGTCTCGAACTCCTGACCTCAGGTGATCCACCTGCCTTGGCCTCCCAAAGTGCTGGGATTACAGGCGTGAGCCACCATGCCCAGCCTCTGGACATAAGGATTTTTAAAAGCTCTCCAGGCAATTTCAAAGTGCAGCTAAGGTTAAAAGGTTACTTTAGTGAGATTGAGCTTAACATTGCATCTGAAAATTGATTTATTTGTTGAATCAGGTTGGTGGCTTAAATCTGATTCAGTAAGAGGAACCAACTAAATACTTTGATCACATCAATAAATTTATACGTCTGTCTAGTATAAAATTGATTTAACTTTAATTTTTACTAATCTTGTGAATGTTGGTATATTAGATATCGATGCATCTATAACTAATACAGTGGCAGTATGCTGAAAATCACTTTTTTCGAGATCTTGAAACCAGTACAGTAAGGTAGGACTAAAAAATACAACTTTGGCTATTGGAGTGATGTAGTATTCCAGAAGTTATGGACTCATTGAGAAAGGGAGTGAAGTAGCCCCTCAGGATGAAAAGCAAGAGAAAAATGACCATAGACGCCATGGACTACTAACTTCTGTACCCATATCCATAGTACGCAATGATCTAGAACTTGCACACTAGTCTCTCAAAATGTGTATTTTTAAAATTATTTATATTTTTAGTTTCGTCTGTCTGCATTCTCTGCTACAAAATAGGCAGCAGAGGTAGGTTTGTGTTTTGGTTTAGATTGTTGATCCAAATGCTGGCTGGCTCCATTACTTAGTAGCTGTTAGGCAAGTTACTACATTTCTCACAACTTCAGTTTCCTGACCTGCAAATTACGGTAATAATATTCTCCTTCACAGAATGATTACGAGAGTAAATGAGATGATGTGTACCAAATGCACAGTTCAATATCTGATACATTGTTAAGCAGTTGATAAATATTAACAATAAAAGGAAGTGGTTATGTTGTGGAAATAGAAACCAGTATTTAATGAGTACTTACTAGTAGTATGCATATTAAGAATATATATCTCGGCCGGGCGTGGTGGCTCACACCTGTAATCCCAGCAGTTTGGGAGGCCGAGGCGTGCGGATCACCTGAGGTCAGGAGTTTGAGACCAGTCTGGCCAACATGGCGAAACCCCGTCTCTACTAAAAATACAAAAATTAGCTGGGCGTGGTGGCAAGCGCCTGTAATCCCAGCTACTTGGGAGGCTGAGGTGGGAGAATCGCTTGTACCTGGAAGGTGGTGGTTGCAGTGAGCTGAGATCGTGCCACTGCACTCCATCCTGGGTGACAGAGTGAGAATCTGCCTCAAAAAAAAAAATATATATATATATATATATATATATATATATCTCTGTCCTTATATCTTAATCCTTGAGCCTCTGTAAGAAAACTGCTGTTATCCCACTTTCCTTTTCTTTCTTTTCTTTTCTTTTCTTTTTTTTTTTTTTTTTTTTTGAGACTGAATTTCCCTCTTGTTGCCCACGCTGGAGTGCAATGGCGCGACCTCGGCTCACTCCAACCTCTGCCTCCTGGGTTCAAGCGATTCTCCTGCCTCAGCCTCCTGAGTAGCTGGGATTACAGGCATGCGCCACCACGCCCAGCAGGTTTTTTTTGTTTTTTTTTTTTTTGTATTTTTAGTAGAGATAGGGTTTCACCATATTGGCCAGGCTGGTCTCAAACTCCTGACCTCAGGTGATCCACCTGCTTCGGTCTCCCAAGGTGCTGGGATTACACGTGTGAGCCACTGCACCTGGCCCCCACTTTTCTTTAAACAGATAAAAAACTCTGGCTCATAGAAGCGAAATAATTTGTCTTAGATCAGACCATGGTATAAATGGGATTCTACTCAGACTTTAGCACCTGTACTTTTCCCATACCACACTATGATTTAGCCTCTAGGGAAGTCTCAGTTGAACATAATTAGATGAATTTGTAGTGAATTGGTATTTTTTTCCTCGTAGGAAAAGGTAGGTTGGTGTCAATTTTGTGAACAATATGGTGAGCAATGTGGGCATGCCATTTTCCAGCCTGTCGGAATCAATATTGTCCTTCATTTGAGTAGAATGTGCTTGTTTTTTTTTTTTTTTTTTTTTTTTTAAAGACGGAGAATGAGAATTTGGGCTAGGCAGTTTGTCCAACATTTTGTCAGTCTCTTCAACGCTCACTATTCTGTTGATCAATGTAGCAGATGGTGGACTTTGGAACTTTTTATCAGAGAATGTGTGTTGAGAAATGTTCTACTTGGAAGGAACATTCCTTTGACTCATAAAAAAATTTTTCTCTTAAAGACCTCTTTGCTCCTTGTTGCATTCAAATTACCCTGAATACTTCCTGCTGTGGGCACCGCATGAACTGTTCCTACAAAAGCCAGCCCTTTCCACTTAAAGTAGTGCAGCATTATATAAGGGGGAGAGCACAGGCTTTGGGAGCAGCCCAACCTGGATTCAAATCTATTACTTGTTAGCAATGTGCTAAGTAAGAGGGTGCTAATATTTATTGACTGCCTACTGTGTGCCAGGCATTATTAAATAATTTATTTACTATCCTCATTAATTTCCACAACAACTTTCTTTGCTTTTTCACAGCAACCTTTTAAAAGGACTGTTACATTTTTTATAGGTCAAGATGCATGCTCAAAGAGGTTAAGTATCTAGCTCAAGTTCTCACTTCTTGTAAGTGGTAAAGTTTGATTTTGAACTGAGGTTTATCAAACTGCTAATGTATGTGGTATACCTTGAACAAATATGTTAATATTTCTGTTCTCAATTTCCTCATCTCTGAAACCGGAATACTACCACTTTGAAGGACTGATAAGAGGATTAAATTAGTGTACTTAAAATTTTCTGTCAGTATCTGTTTAAGTAGATACTCAAATAATACTAGTTTCTTCCCTACCTTTAGTAAGTAATAATAACAGAAGAATGAAGCAATTTTCACCTCTGCCTTTATTAAAATGTTTTACATTTAACTTTGTATTTTGAAAAATTTTGAACTCAGAAAAGATGCAAGAAACGTGCAATGAACTCCTATATATCCTTCATCCAAATTCTCCGATTCTTAACATTGGTTACATTTGCTTTATCTGTGTGTGTATACATATACATATATAGAATTTTACTGAAGTCTTTGAGAGTAAGTTGCAGAATCATGACCTTCTGTTCCTAAATATTTCAGCATATATTTCCTAAGAACAAGGACAGTCAATACAGTAACAGTGCATTTATCAAAATTAGTAATTTATCATTAATACAATAATCTAATATATAGTAGTTTATATTCTACTTTTCACCATCTGCTTAATAGTGTTCTTTTAAGTATTTTTCCTCCTGATCTGGATCACACACTGGATTTAGTTGTCATGTTTAGTCTCCTTTGCCACCTGTGCCTTTTGAGCCATTACTGCCACTACATTGGGTTGTATTAGAATTACTTCCTTAGATTATCTGTCTCTTCAGAGAGTGATGATCTCAAACCATCTTAAACGTTGTGAGTAAAAGAGAAGAATATTTGTACTCTTCTGCCCTGGAGTGAAATCCCAACAAATACTTGAGTAACTGTGTATGTCAAGAGATTGTGCTGAGTGGTGGAGATCAGCAGGTCAGGAGATACACGGTCCTGGTTCTCAATGGGGCTTCCAGATGAGTAAGATTGTTATAGTGCAGTTCAGCAAGTCTTGCTGAGCTCACAAGAGAGACTGCTCCTGGAAGTGTGCTGGAAACTAGATACAATTCAGGGCTCCCAAAGGATGTTTAAAAACAATATTAATTACCTCATGACAGGAAGATTGAAAATTTCAAGGTAATCATATTGTCAGCTTTTCATATCTTAAAGTCTGTTTTGAAATCGGGTTGAATGTGAAAATCTAAGAGACTTTAACACTGTCTGATGTAGTAGTAATGAAACAATGCCTGTACTGCATCATTGCCACAATTGGTGGTAAAGTACCATTTCGTTTATTCAGGGTGATAGTTTCCTCATTGGAATTAAAAAAAAAAATCAGAAGGCAGTAGAAATCTCTATGGACCTTCCTGCAGTATTTATATTCGTTCATCTACAGATCTTTCTTTCACTTGTTTTTTGTCTGGTTTTTTAAAGTGTCAGCTGAGGCTATGGTGCCTCTTAATTCACCAACTGAAACAACCAGAATTTCTAGTGCATTTGGTTATGCTTTCCTGTCCTGCAAGGCCTGATTTGGTTACAATATAATCTTTGTTCACATTTTTCAAGGTAAATTTTAGATACCCAGCCATAGTCCTCTTTATGGCAGAAACACAAGGCTGACGGACAACTTAATTACCAACTGTAGATGTAGGAAGGGCTTCCAGTCAAGAGAATGCTGAGTAGTTATTTTACAAGTCTAAAGGAGACTGAATGTGGAAGATGGATTTAAAATGGAAATGTGGTAGTAGTACATAAAGAAATTCTGTGCTAGAATTGTAGAGCATTCAGATACACCTAGGATTCTAGGTATGGGCCTCATAGTTCACCTAAGAAGGAGAGTGGACAGAGAGAGAGCAGGGCCTTGCCTTTCCTTCCCTCTACTGGTCCTGTCACACATAGCCACTCTATTTCTGCATATGATTTTATCTGAAAACATGCAGCTACTTAGAAGTTTGAAAACTAGTGTCTTAGTTGTATTTGTGAAATTGTACCAAGCCATGGTCTCTCAGGTTCCTTGCAGCTCTGTATAAAGCCTCTGAGCTGCTTTATTCACAGGTGTTTGCTGTCCATTGGTTGCATACTTTGGGAACATAGGTGCATGGTAACATTGGTGCATGGTAACATTAAGTTAGAGCATACTGTGAAGCAGATGATGTTGGAACTAATGGTTCATGTGAACTATTTGTACTATCACTACCAGTGCTACAGAGAGACAATTCACTTTATTTATACTCTATTACAGTGTCTTCAAATGTTCATCTCAAATCAGGTACATTTTGATCAATGCTGTTATACCATTTTATCATAATTTAATTTGCAACAGTTTTTTGCCTTAGTGGTACATAAGATGATGGTGCCTTTACAAGTAATAGCATCTTAATTTTGATGAAATATGCTATATTTAGTGCATAAGATGCCACACATATAAGGGTAAAACTCCTCATACATTCTTTCCTGCTTTTTTGCATCTATGAAGGTGGCAATAACTTCAGTAAGCCAAACTGTGGCTAACAGTAATTAATATTGAGACATTAATGTTGAGACAGATGTCATGTATCTTTGTAGCTCTAGCCTCTAGCATAGTGCCTACCACTTAATAGGTGTTCAGTAAATGTTTCATTGAATGGTCTTTTAATATTAGTTTATGAGGCTAGACCATTAAAACAAAGTTTTAGTTGGGAGTAATTAGAAAAAAGAAAATAACTTACTTTTTTTTTTTTTTTTTTTAAATGGAGTCTCGCTCTGTTGCCCAGGCTGGAGTGCAGTGGTGCAGCCTCGACTCACTGCAACCTCTGCCTCTTGGGTTCAAGCGATTCTTCTGCCTCAGACTTCTGAGTAGCTGGGATTACAGGTGTGTGCCACCACACCCGGCTAATTTTTTATATTTTTTGGGTGGAGACGGGGTTTCCCAGTGTTAGCCAGGATGGTCTCAATCTCCTGACCTCGTGATCTGCCTGCGTCGGCCTCCCAAAGTGCTGGGATTACAGACGTGAGCCACTGTGCCTGACCGGAAATGACTGACTTTATTCAAGAGAAAAATAATTTGTACAAGTAAGGCAAGTAATCATAGTATATTACTTAGATCACCTGTGTACAACATTTCTAGATGCATAGTAATGTAGATACTGAATACTGATCCTACCAAAATTGTAACTTTTAAAATATTTGTATATATTTAAGAGATACAAGTGCAGTTTTTTGTTTTTTTGAGATGGAGTCTCGCTCTGTTGCCAGGCTAGAGTGCAATGGTGTGATCTCGGCTCACTGCAACCTCCACCTCCCGGGTTCAAACGATTCTCCTGCCTCAGCCTCCCGAGTAGCTGGGACTACAGGCGTGTACCACCACACCCAGCTAATTTTTGTATTTTTAGTAGAGACGGGGTTTCATCATGTTGGCCAGGATGGTCTGGATCTCTTGACCTTGTGATCCACCCACCTCGGCCTCCCAAAGTGCTGAGATTGCAGGCGTGAGCCACCACGCCCAGCCACAAGTGCGGTTTTGTTACATGGACATATTTTGTAGTAGTGGTGACTGTAGGCTTTTAGTATAACCATCACCTAAATAATGTACCTTGTACCCATTAACAAAATTATAATTATTATGAAGAGAAAAGGACAAGCTGTGTGCATGTGCTTTTGGGGAAGAGGGGCAGACACTAAGCTAAATACTCATTTTCTATGTTGAGAAGTCAGTTTGTAACCTCATTGGTCTCCATTCCCACATTCCTCTTCTGTGTGCATGTCCGGTTCTGCTTTGTGATGCTGTTGTTTGGAGATGTGTAGTTTTTATGTAACATGGCCCAAAAATGTTAGGCCAAGATTTTATTTGTTAACTGGCCAAAAAAAAGTGATAAAGAGAAATACTTTGTTTACTCGTATTTTTATATTATGTACCAACTTTGGATCTTAAACCCTCAGTAAAATGCAACTCCAGCAGACGCTGTCCCACACCTAATATGGAGCTTCTGTTCTAGTTAGAGAGCTGAGAAAAGTATATAAATACCTATTAAATAGCCCAAAGAGGTGTGTGTGTGTGTGTGTGTGTGTGTGTGTGTGTGTGTGTATTTTTTAAAGCCAGTAGAGACCAGGCGCAGTGGCTCACGCCTGTAATCCCAGCACTTTGGGAGACTGAGGCAGGCAGATTGCTTGAGGCAGGCAGATTCCTTAAGTCCAGGAGTTCACGACCAGCCTGGGCAACATGACAAAACCGTGTCTCTAGGAAAAATCCAAAAATTAGCTCGTATGGTGGTGCGTGCCTGTAGTCTCAGCTACTCAGGGGGCTGAAGTGGGAGGATCACTGGAGCCCCGGAGGTTGAGGCTGCAGTGAGCTGAGATTGCACCAGCACACTCCAGCATGAGTGACCCTCTATCAAAAAAAAAGAAAAAAGGAAAAAAAAAGTCACAAGAGAGTAATATAATAAGGAGGAGGGGAAAGATCCTATGTCCATAGAGAAAAGAATGGAAAAGCGATCAGTAAGCCAGACCGAAAGATGGGTGGGTTTTGGATAGTCTGGAATCCCTGGATGATGAGGTGTCTTTGAGGAATGCACATTTACAGTTTGGCTGCAGAATGGGGTATAAGAAGATTAATTGTGGCTGGAAAAGAACATCGGTGAATACGGAGAATGGTGATGGCCCGGCAGAAGAGTTGCTGGTGTGGCATGGCCTATAGAGGCACTGTGGTAGAGTGGAAAGAGATAGTATTCTGGCTCTGCTTATTAGCTGGGTGACCTTGGTCATGAAGTTCTGTGGCTCTTTGCTTTATATATCTATACAGTAGAGATAGGATGCTTCGCAGAATTAAGATTATGATGAAGAGAGAAAGCCTAGGTGATACAGGCACACATGTATTTCACTCTCAATACAAAAAGAACAACAAAAACGTTGTTTTGTTTTGTAGAACAGAGCTTTTGAGCAAAAGAATGATGTCACTATTGCTTTGAAACAGTTGTTTCTGATAGATTGGGGGGTAGTGAAGGCCCTAGGGTAATTGCCCCATAACAAGAGTGGCTGTAAGAGTCCAGGTAATTCAGTCAAAGTCTGAACTAGACCAGTGCCTGTAGGATTTGAAATAAGGAGCTGAATGGGGGAAGCATTGCAAACACGAAGTCAACATGTTCAGAATGTTCTGAGCAAGGGAAGTGGTATTGCTAGGGATAACAGTGGTTTCATAAATGGAAATAGGTTTGGCATTGCTGCTGCTTTTGATTATGGAGTAACATAAAATTGAGGTTTGAAATTTGAAGGTGCCCATTAGACACCCTGGTAAAGACATTCATAAAGTAGTTGGAAGTGTTGGTGCAGAACTAAGAGAGACTTTGAGTCAAGAGAAAGAGATTGTGGGGGTGAATTGGGGCTGTGGGAAAGGATAGATGAAAGAAGAGGACTGAATGCAGAGAATTGATGTGTTCACCTCTAGGAGATGAGGAAGAGGAGCCAGGGAAAACAGTAGATGTATAGGATGGATTTTTGTGGATGGCAAATAAGAATACATTTTAAAAGAAGAATCAGATCAACATATTTTTTTCTTTTCTTTTTTTTTTTTTTTTTTGAGACAGAGTTTCACTCTTGTTGCCTAGGCTGCAGTGCAATGCATCGATCTCGGCTCACTGCAACCTCTGCCTCCCGGGTTCAGGCGATTCTCCTGCCTTAGCCTCCCGAGTTGCTGGGATTACAGGTGCACGCCACTACACCCGGCTAATTTTTGTATTTTTGGTAGAGAGGGGGTTTCGCCATGTTGGCCAGGCTGGCCTTGAACTCCTGACCTCAGGTGATCCAAAGTGCTGGGATTACAACTGTGAGCCACCATGCCCAGCCAGATCAACATTTTTAAATTCTGCAAAACTCAGGGTTGACAGGGATAAAGAAAGGCCACTGGGCCGGGTGTGGTGGCTCACTCGTGTAATCCCAGCACATTGGGAGGCCAAGGCAGGTGGATCACAAGGTCAGGAGATCAAGACCATCCTGGCTAACATGGTGAAACCCCGTTGCTACTAAAAATACCAAAAATTAGCCGGGCATGGTGGCGGGCGCCTGTAGTCCCAGCTACTTGGGAGGCTGAGGCAGGAGAATGGCGTGAACCTGGGAGGCGGAGCTTGCGGTGAGCCGAGATTGTGCCACTGCACTCCAGCTGGGCGACAGAGCGAGACTCCGTCTCAAAAAAAAAAAAAAAAAAAACCACTGGATTTTGATATTTACTTATCACTGGATACCTGTGACAAAGCTTTGGTAGCATTCAGAGTGAGTAGGAGGCCGGGTGTGGTGGCTGACGCCTGTAATCCCAGCACTTTGGGAGGTAGAGAAGGATGGATCACCTGAGTTCAGGAGTTCAAGACCAGCCTGGCCAACATGGCAAAACCCCATCTCTACTAAAAATAGAAAAATTAGCCAAGTGTGGTGGCACACGCCCTGTAATCCCTGCTACTTGGGAGGCGGAGGCAGGAGAATCTCTTGAACCTGGGAGGCAGAGGTTGCAGTTAGCCGAGATCGCGCCACTGCTCTCCAGCCTGGGTGACAGAACGAGACTCTGTCTCAAAAAACAAAAACCAAAGTGAGTAGGAGCCAGACCACAAAGCCTTAAAATGTTGAAATGGCTGGAAAGGAGGTAGAGATGGTGAGACTCCCTGAAGGAAAGAGGAAGAGGAAGACAGAACATGTTTCAGTGCGTTCAGCAGGATTTCTCGATGCCAGCACTACCGAGTTTGGGCCTGATAATTCTTTGTTGTAGGGAGCAGTCCTGTGCTTTGTAGGATCCCCTCCTACTCCTGAGTTGTGACAACCAAAGATGCCTCCAGTTATTGTCAAATGTCCCCTGGGGGCCATATTCCTTGGGTGAGAACTGATCGACAGGGTTGAATAAGGATTCCTACCGCTGGAGTGGGGAAGGAGCTAGTCCAGAAGTGGGTGGAAAACCACAGGCAGCCAGGGGATGATTTACTGAAGCAGGGACCCAAGGAGGGCAGGAAGAAACAGAGCAAAACCTCGGTCTAGAAGAGGTATCCTGAAGTTGGAGAGGGTGGGGAAATGCATTGTTGTTGTTGTTTTTTTTTTTTGTAATGACAGTTGTTTTGGCTTACATTAGATGGCCTCAAGCTTATCACTGAGAAAGGAGAAAAGGTCTTTTGAGAATGAAGTAGGCAAGGTTAATGTTTGGCATTAGAGGAAATTATATAAACTTTAATCCCAGTGGGGGAAGATTAGTGTACAGGTGAGTAAAAGGATTACTGAGCAGCAATGAGGCCTGGCTGAATGGAACTTTTGAAGCAATTATTAAAAAGATTGGTAAAATGTATATCTCAACCACGCTGATACTTTTTATATTTGTGCGTTTTACAGACTAGACTTATGTACTTTTTTTTTACTTTTTATTTTGCTTATTTCACAGGACTTTGTAGATTTCAATGTTATTGAACTTTTATTTCAGTTATTTTTAATGGCTACATAATAGTCTATAGATCTGTTCTTTAATTTACCAATCAGCGCTTCAGTTACTAACTGGTTAGATTGCTTCCAGTTTTTAATGAAGTTGTGCCAAAAGTTGCAGTAAACATTCTTATGCATAGAGTTTTGCGAGATTTTACTAGTGGACCCAGTAAAGGTTTTATACGGTGGTAACACAGAGCAGGAAATGTATTTTCTGAAATGTCACATTAATGAGGCCACCCTTGATCCACCACATTTAAAATTGCAACCTTCATTCCTGCTTTAATCTCTGTAGCACTTGCTATCTTCTAGGTGTTTTACTTATTTATCTTGATTGCTGTTGTCTCCCTTGTTCGACAGAACAGGGATTTTGGTTTGCTTCACCAGTACCTTAAATAGTGCCTGGCACATACATACTTGCTGAATGAATGGATGATGGGACTTACCCAGACCTGTAGGCGAAATGAGTTTGGAAGAGTGTCAGTAGCAACAGATATTCATGGAAGCCAGTGGGAAGATACTTGCAATGACTGATCTTTAGTATCTAGAGGGACAAGGAAGCAACAAAAGTCCCCAGGGACATGAATTGGGAGATTGAAGGGTTAGTACCTGGAGGTAATTGTGACAACAAAAGCACATTCCTCTGGAAGGTGAGAGTGGGAGAGGTAGAAGGTAAGTAGGCTGTGGTTAGAGAAAGGGATTTCCCAAGGTTTAGATATTAGAAATGGAACAGTTTGAGAATTAAATTCTCAAATTTAATTTTGAGAAGGTTGGTAGAATACTCCATTTCATGGAGAATGGACTGTATCACTTTTTAATTGCTCCTGCCTTGGCAAACAGTGTCCTCTAATCTTGTTATATTTGGGTCATGCTCAGTGGTGGTATATAAAGCAGGTTTTGTTTTCAGAGATCTTTTTTGTTGGAATATGGCTGTATGTGATAATCTGATTAAGCAGATATGCCACTAATGTCTGCCACACAATAAGGCATGTTAGTGACTATGTCAATGTAGGCTTGAAAGCTACATTGATAGAGAAGTTGTCTCCCCGCTATTTGACTTCTTGAGTCGTTTCTTTGAACTGTCGAGAGTATTTTACAAGTGCTTTTCTGTTTGAGGTCATTTCACTCAGAGTATAGCAACTTAGTAAAATATGTAAAACATGTAGTATAGCATATGCCATTCTTATTTTAAGCTGCTTTTGGGGAGCCACTCTTGGGTATGGAAGTTGTAATAGTAGTTTTTGGAGTACACTTTATTATTATTACCGTCAGCCAGTACATGATTTTCCATTGCCTTATACGTTTTCCACTGTAGCATTAAAAAAAAAATTTTTTTTTTATTATTACACTGTAAGTTCTGGGATGCATGTGTAGAACGTGCAGGTTTATTACATAGGTATACACGTGCCGTGGAGGTTTGCTGCACCCATCAACCCATCATCTACGTTAGGTATTTCTGCTAATGCTCTCCCTCCCCTAGCCCCCAACCACCTGACCGACCCCGGTGTGTGATGTTCCCCTTCCTGTGTCCATGTGTTCTTATTGTTCAACTCCCACTTATGAGTGAAAACATGTGGTGTTTGGTTTTCTGTTCCTGTGTTAGTTTGCTGAGAACGATGGTTTCTAGCTTCATCCATTTCTCTACAAAGGACATGAACTCATCCTTTTTTATGGCTGCTACTGTAGCATATTTTTAGCTTTAAAATTCCAATTAGTCTCAGGTGAATTGTTAATGACAGACAGGTGTGACTTAGTAGAAAAAACTGGAGAGACAGTTGAAGTAATCTTTCTCATATTTTTCAGTGGCTAGATAGCATGTCTGTAATTTCTTAACTCTTTAGTTTCTTCTATTTCAAAACATGATAATGATCTCAAATATAACCTTCCTCCCAAAATCTCAGGGATACTTTACCAATCTATTGTTTGCTTTGGTGGGATTATAATAACTGTGATATAGGTTGGGAGGCCAAGGTGGGTGGATCACCTGAGGTCAGGAGTTCGAGATCAGCCTGGCCAATGTGGCAAAACCCCTGTCTCTACTAAAAATACAAAAAAATTAGCTGGGCGTGGTGGGACGCGCCTGTAATCACAGCTACTCAGGAGGCTGAGGCAGGAGAATCGATGAACCTGGGAGTTAGAGGTTGCATTGAGCCAAGATCGCACCACCGCACTCCAGCCTTGGCGACAGAGCGGGACTCTGTCTCAAAAATAAATAAATAAATAAATAAATAAATATGATATGATATGGGATATTCAAAGGTGTTAATGTTGTAAGGAAAGGAAAAATAACATTTCATATAAGGAGGAAAGGGTTGATGGAAAGCATAATCTATTATTGTGCCTGATCTTTGAGCTGCTAGGCACCTTATCAGAATGCTGTTTGAGGAGTGTTTTCATTATGTTTAAAGCTTTCAGAGAAAGTAGGATTTTCTGATACAAGTAGAAAAATAGAAAAAAGTAGATATGTTTTTCTACTTTTAAGAAGGGAAGGCTTACTAGGAATTATTTTTAAATGAATGAAAGAGTAGAAGGAGGAAGAATAGGCAGTATCCGTGTGTGATTTCTCTGTGTCAAACACCATAGATGTAGTTTTTTATGCACATTTTCTCTAATTCTCAAAACAGTGCTTAGATTATAATATCTGTGTTTGCATATTATGAAATTAAGGCTCAGAAAAGTTAAGAAATTTGTCTAGCATCATATAGTTAGGAGATAAAATTTTGTACCCAGAAATCTCTAACTCTGTATACCACACTGTGTATCAAACTAATGAGAAAGAATAGTGACACCAACGGTTAGGACTTCAGACATTTACATTTGTGCTGAATGTAGAAGAGGGTGCTTAACACTTGAAATGCGTGCTCAAGTACAATAGTTAATAATATGAGATTGTGTGGGGTATGATTGTGTGCCTCATCCCTGTTTATTGTATGCCCCAAGATTCTTTCATCTGCTGCAAAAAAGCACAGTGCAGATTATGTGTGGTATCACAGCAGGCATTACGGGCATGGGTATGCCTTCTGGATGCAAGGGTGGAATTGGAGGTGCTGTAGCCTTTAGAGGAGAAACCCACTTGCCTTGTTCAAATCAGTTGGCGTATAATGGTGGAAAGTTGTTATATTTGTTTATAATGATATGAGTTGAGCAAACTTGCTTGTTTTTTAAATTTTACGAATTTTAACTTTAAGTTCTTGGAACCAAGTGCTTTATTCCAAATAGGATATGATAATTATATTGACAAGTGTTGAACAATATGTCATTGTAACAGTTTTTCTTTGTGTAATTGACTTCAATAATCTTGAGGGTGTTTTCTGCACCTATTGTTAGAAAAGTTGGAGTGCCCTTGTAAGGGTTGGAGTGAGTGGTTCTTCTCTTGCCATTATAATTGACTGTAGTTAGCATATGGTCTAATTTATTTTAAGAGCACCTCTTAATAAGCCTTGATTTTGTTGAAAATCAGGCTAAAACCATCTTCCTTGCACTTCCTCATTACTTGGTTGTTAGCATAATATTAACTATTATTAGATCCCACATATCTCTTTATCTTGATCTAAAGAACATTGTTAGGGCTAGGAGTCCTGCAGTTTTCATTTAACCCATTTGTGATCTCTTGTGAGGAGGATGGAGCTATTGGTTATATGCCTGAATCATTTGGGAGGTATATATACTAATTTTTGCTGTTGAACCTCAAAGAACAATCAGGTTAGAAATACGAAGTAAGACTTAGAACGTTAAGCCTATGCCTGGGAGGCAGAATGTATATATATTAACCAGAGATGCTTGCATGTAGGGAGAATGCTGGAGAACCAGACTCCTGGAGCAGTTTATCCTATGAAATACCGTATGGAGACTGTTCTGTGAGGCATCATCGAGAGTTGGACATCTATACATTAACCTCTGAGTCTGATTCACATCATGAACACCCATTTCCTGGAGACGGTTGCACTGGACCAATTTTTAAACTTATGAACATCCAACAGCAACTAATGGTAAGTCAGAAAGCTTTTATTTTTAAGTATATGCATGTGTATGTGTGTGTTTTGTATGTGTGTGTCCCCGCCCTCCTCCAATGAACCTTGATATAATTAGAACATAAAAATGCTTTCCTGGTGGGAGGCTGAGACGGGCGGATCACGAGGTCAGGAGATGGAGACCATCCTGGCTAACACGGTGAAACCCTGTCTCTACTAAAAATACAAAAAATTGGCCGGCCTGGTGGCGGGCGCCTGTAGTCCCAGCTACTCGGAAGGCTGAGGCAGGAGAATGGCGTGAACCCAGGAGGCGGAGCTTGCAGTGAGCCGAGATCACGCCATTGCACTCTAGCCTGGGCAACAGAGCGAGACTCCGTCTCAAAAAAAAAAAAACTTTCCTGGCCAGGCACAGTGGCTCATGCCTGTAATCCCAGCACTTTGGAAGGGCCAACACAGGTGGATCACTTGAGCTCAGGAGTTTGAGACCAGCCTGGGCAACATGGAGAAACTCTGGCTCTACAGAAGTTAGCTGGGCATGGTGGCGTACGCCTATAGTCCCAGCTACTTGGGGGTCTGAGGCAGGCAGATCATGTGAGCCTGGGAGGCAGAGGTTGCAGTGAGCTGAGATGACACCACTGCACTCCTGCCGGGGTGACAGAGCAAGACCTTGTCTCAAAAACAGAAAAAGAAGGACTTTCCCCAAAGATTCTGAGACCTGTAAAGCAGTATTAGCAGTATTAAATGTTACCACTTACAGATCAGAGCTAGCATTAAGGTTGTAGCCGTAGGGGGACTGAGAGGTTTTTTTCATTGGTTTTGGGAATAATGGAAGACACACATTTCAGGTACAGAAATATGCAACAACTAGAACTAAATTTCTGGCATAAAAGGATATTTGTCTGTGTTTGGCTTAACTTTACAAAATGAAAGAACCAACAGTTTCTGAGATTGTTGCCAAAGAACAAGAACCAAATTTAATCAGGAGTATTTTTACAACTATTTTAGTGGCGATGATATGTACCATTTAAATATAGTGTTACTATATTTAAATCAATAGTTGTATGGTACAAAGATAGCTAAAAAAAACAGAAAAGATTTTATAATCCACTCAAGTCTTCAAGATAAAGTTGTTGCCAGACATAAAAACATTACAGACTCCCTGTTAGCATTTATTACGAATAACATAAACGTCATATGTGTACATCTCTCTTGGGCATAACATCTGAAAGGCTGTGTTTAGGTAATTTTTCCACCCAGTTTATTTCAGAGCTGATTTGATTTGGAAACCACTGGACAGTAATTTCATTTAAGGTCAGCTCAATGCCAGAGGCTTCTTTGGGAGCATGCATTATTTGAGACCAGCAAGCCAAGAAATTCCATAGGGTTATGTGATGCTCCCACTTTTGTGTTTTAGAATTGTGTTTGTTCCAGAGCACGTGACATTTCATTTTCCTCTGAATGGACTTCTAGGCAATCAGGTTTTTCCTTAGAGCTCTTTTTACTAGGTGAATGGTAGTTCACTTGAAAATATAGTTTTGCAGGTACCAAAGCTACCTGCCAAGATATGGAAATGGTTGGCAGGCAAATACGAGAAATTAAAACTGTGGGAACATACATGTGCTACTTTCTTTAGGCAACACTACTTGTTTCGCCAGATTTCTGTTTTATAATGTTTACCATTTATTAAATTTAATGACTTCATTTCCTGATTTTTAGGAGACTGTCGTACTCTCAGCAGGACTGGAAATAAGCTAATTTTGAATACTCTTAAGGAGCCTAACACAGAAGCTTTTAGTGAAAGTCCATTTTGCTTGTACACTCTACTAGAAAGACTTTAACAAGCATGACACATTTTACACTTGTACATATAAACTTTTACAATAGGCTCAGTAGGTAGATAGGAATGGTCTGATGATGGAACCCTGTAAGTGCCCAATATATTCACTGAGTGAGTAGGTGAATGAGAGGATGGATGGCAGTAGGTATGCATATTATTGCAGTAGATCAGGTAATGAATGAATGGCGAGCAAACCAGATGTTTGGAAAAATAGATTTTAGGTGTTGAGAAAATATTTTTATAAGAATTTTTGAAATTTTGATATAAAGGTAAAATCACTAAAGATCACCTGTATTTGTTTTTCTCCATTTTAAACCTTGCTGCATGCACATGGGATTTTTGCATATTTATAAACTTAGATTAATAATTTTTTTCTAATTGCAATATGGTCCTCATAGTTAATAATGGCTAGTATTTCTTCCATCAGTTTTATGAACCTTGATTTTCTTAATCATTCCCATGCTGTTGGTTATATCTGTTTATATTTTTTAAATACTTTAAAGTTGCAAAATCCATTTTTGAGATTACATATAGTATCCATAATATACTCTGACAGTATATAGGTATATGTTCTCATTTATTTTATATTTAATATGTTCTGATTTTATCAAAAGGTGAAAGAATATCTGCCATGCCACTGTTCCTGAAATTATGACCCCATAACTCGATGGTTAAGTTAGATTGGTTGGAACATATTTTGGGGATTAAAGGACACTGAACTCAGTAAGTATTTAGGGCACAGGCACATTGGCTGCACCTTGTAATGGAAAAGAGCTAGGATTTGTTTTTACTTGTATATATGAGGCAGGGTGTAAGTAGACTCTGCCCTTCTGAAGACAATGAAAAATATAGGTGGGACACAGTGGTGTAGGCCCTATAATCCCAGCACTTTGGGAGACCAAGGTAGGAGGATCCCATAGGCTCAGGTGTTGGAGAACAGCCTGGGCAACATAGTGAGACCCCGTCTCTACAAAAAATAAAACAATTAGTCAGGTGCAATGGTGCACACCTGTAGTCCTAGCTACTGAAGAGGCTGAGGCGGCAGGGTCACTTGAGCCCAGGAGTTCAAGGCTGCGGTGAGCTGTGATCACACCACTGCACTTCAGCCTGGCCTCAGAATGAGAGAGCCCACCTTAATGTTAGCAGCTCAATTGAAGATATTCACTGAGCTTTTTAAAAATCAGGTTTTTGAGACTCTTTTATTTTTATTTTTTTTAAGACGGAGTTTTGCTCTTATTGCCCAGGCTGGAGTGCAGTGGTGCTGTCTCGGCTCACTGCAACCTCCGCCTCCCGGGTACAAGCAATTCTCCTGCCTCAGCCTCCCAAGTAGCTGAGATTACAGGCATGCACCACTACGCCCAGCTAATTTTGTATTTTTAGTAGAGACAGGGTTTCTCCATGTTGAGGCTGGTCTCGAACTCCTGACCTCAGGTGATCTGCCTGCCTCAGCCTCCCAAAGTGCTGGGATTACAGGCATGAGCCACCATGCCCGGCGAGACTCAGTTTTCATCTACTTCCTAAAATAAGTTCAAAATTTAGAAAATAGATATTTCATATATCCTAATCTATTTTGAACATCCCAGTATATAGGCAGATATGAAAGGAAAGTAATATCAGAAATAAGAGGAAATTTATTTGTATTCTTTTAGATTCGCTTATCATGTGACCTTAGAAGAGCTAGAATAGAAGTGAGTTCTGTCCAACAGAATTTTTGCTCAGAGGTGTCAGTGACATCTTCTCCTACAGGCAGTTTTTTAAAAGTGTATTTCATTTCCTCCTAGAAAACAAACCTCAAGCAGATGGACAGTCTTATGCCCTTAATGATGACAGCACAGGATCCTTCCAGTGCCCCAGAGACAGATGGCCAGTTTCTTCCCTGTGCACCGGAGCCCACGGACCCTCAGCGACTTTCTTCTTCTGAAGAGACTGAGAGCACTCAGTGCTGCCCAGGGAGCCCTGTTGCACAGACTGAAAGTCCCTGTGATTTGTCAAGCATAGTTGAGGAGGAGAATACAGACCGTTCCTGTAGGAAGAAAAATAAAGGCGTGGAAAGAAAAGGGGAAGAGGTGGAGCCAGCACCTATTGTGGACTCTGGAACTGTATCTGATCAAGACAGCTGCCTTCAGAGCTTGCCTGATTGTGGAGTAAAGGGCACGGAAGGCCTTTCGTCCTGTGGAAACAGAAATGAAGAAACTGGAACAAAATCTTCTGGAATGCCCACAGACCAGGAGTCCCTGAGCAGTGGAGATGCTGTGCTTCAGAGAGACTTGGTCATGGAGCCAGGCACAGCCCAGTATTCCTCTGGAGGTGAACTGGGAGGCATTTCAACAACAAATGTCAGTACCCCAGACACTGCAGGGGAAATGGAACATGGGCTCATGAACCCAGATGCCACTGTTTGGAAGAATGTGCTTCAGGGAGGGGAAAGTACAAAGGAAAGATTTGAGAACTCTAATATTGGCACAGCTGGAGCCTCTGACGTGCACGTCACAAGTAAGCCTGTGGATAAAATCAGTGTTCCAAACTGTGCCCCTGCTGCCAGTTCCCTGGATGGTAACAAACCTGCTGAGTCTTCACTTGCATTTAGTAATGAAGAAACCTCCACTGAAAAAACAGCAGAAACGGAAACTTCACGAAGTCGTGAGGAGAGTGCTGATGCTCCAGTAGATCAGAATTCTGTGGTGATTCCAGCTGCTGCAAAAGACAAGATTTCAGATGGATTAGAACCTTATACTCTCTTAGCAGCAGGCATAGGTGAGGCAATGTCACCCTCAGATTTAGCCCTTCTTGGGCTGGAAGAAGATGTAATGCCACACCAGAACTCAGAAACAAATTCATCTCATGCTCAAAGCCAAAAGGGCAAATCCTCACCCATTTGTTCTACAACTGGAGACGATAAACTTTGTGCAGACTCTGCATGTCAACAGAACACAGTGACTTCTAGTGGCGATTTGGTTGCAAAACTGTGTGATAACATAGTTAGCGAGTCCGAAAGCACCACAGCAAGGCAACCCAGCTCACAAGATCCACCCGATGCCTCCCACTGTGAAGACCCACAGGCTCATACAGTCACCTCTGACCCTGTAAGGGATACCCAGGAACGTGCGGATTTTTGTCCTTTCAAAGTGGTGGATAACAAAGGCCAACGAAAAGATGTGAAACTAGATAAACCTTTAACAAATATGCTTGAGGTGGTTTCACATCCACATCCAGTTGTCCCTAAAATGGAGAAAGAACTGGTGCCAGACCAGGCAGTAATATCAGACAGTACTTTCTCTCTGGCAAACAGTCCAGGCAGTGAATCAGTAACCAAGGATGACGCACTTTCTTTTGTCCCCTCCCAGAAAGAAAAGGGAACAGCAACTCCTGAACTACATACAGCTACAGATTATAGAGATGGCCCAGATGGAAATTCGAATGAGCCTGATACGCGGCCACTAGAAGACAGGGCAGTAGGCCTGTCCACATCCTCCACTGCTGCAGAGCTTCAGCACGGGATGGGGAATACCAGTCTCACAGGACTTGGTGGAGAGCATGAGGGTCCCGCCCCTCCAGCAATCCCAGAAGCTCTGAATATCAAGGGGAACACTGACTCTTCCCTGCAAAGTGTGGGTAAGGCCACTTTGGCTTTAGATTCAGTTTTGACTGAAGAAGGAAAACTTCTGGTGGTTTCAGAAAGCTCTGCAGCTCAGGAACAAGATAAGGATAAAGCGGTGACCTGTTCCTCTATTAAGGAAAATGCTCTCTCTTCAGGAACTTTGCAGGAAGAGCAGAGAACACCACCTCCTGGACAAGATACTCAACAATTTCATGAAAAATCAATCTCAGCTGACTGTGCCAAGGACAAAGCACTTCAGCTAAGTAATTCACCGGGTGCATCCTCTGCCTTTCTTAAGGCAGAAACTGAACATAACAAGGAAGTGGCCCCACAAGTCTCACTGCTGACTCAAGGTGGGGCTGCCCAGAGCCTGGTGCCACCAGGAGCAAGTCTGGCCACAGAGTCAAGGCAGGAAGCCTTGGGGGCAGAGCACAACAGCTCCGCTCTGTTGCCATGTCTGTTGCCAGATGGGTCTGATGGGTCCGATGCTCTTAACTGCAGTCAGCCTTCTCCTCTGGATGTTGGAGTGAAGAACACTCAATCCCAGGGAAAAACTAGTGCCTGTGAGGTGAGTGGAGATGTGACGGTGGATGTTACAGGGGTTAATGCTCTACAAGGTATGGCTGAGCCCAGAAGAGAGAATATATCACACAACACCCAAGACATCCTGATTCCAAACGTCTTGTTGAGCCAAGAGAAGAATGCCGTTCTAGGTTTGCCAGTGGCTCTACAGGACAAAGCTGTGACTGACCCACAGGGAGTTGGAACCCCAGAGATGATACCTCTTGATTGGGAGAAAGGGAAGCTGGAGGGAGCAGACCACAGCTGTACCATGGGTGACGCTGAGGAAGCCCAAATAGACGATGAAGCACATCCTGTCCTACTGCAGCCTGTTGCCAAGGAGCTCCCCACAGACATGGAGCTCTCAGCCCATGATGATGGGGCCCCAGCTGGTGTGAGGGAAGTCATGCGAGCCCCGCCTTCAGGCAGGGAAAGGAGCACTCCCTCTCTACCTTGCATGGTCTCTGCCCAGGACGCACCTCTGCCTAAGGGGGCAGACTTGATAGAGGAGGCTGCCAGCCGTATAGTGGATGCTGTCATCGAACAAGTCAAGGCCGCTGGAGCACTGCTTACTGAGGGGGAGGCCTGTCACATGTCACTGTCCAGCCCTGAGTTGGGTCCTCTCACTAAAGGACTAGAGAGTGCTTTTACAGAAAAAGTGAGTACTTTCCCACCTGGGGAGAGCCTACCAATGGGCAGTACTCCTGAGGAAGCCACGGGGAGCCTTGCAGGATGTTTTGCTGGAAGGGAGGAGCCAGAGAAGATCATTTTACCTGTCCAGGGGCCTGAGCCAGCAGCAGGTAAGCAAAACATAATACAAAATTAACAGTCTGAGAAGCAGATTCCCTTAAGAGTCACTGTGGTGTCCTGGTAAAAATATAGGCATCTTTGTTGTTTTGAGGCCTTGCACTCATTGGGTAGGTAGCCAAGTTAATAGTCACCACCATCAGGAGGGGCACGTCATCTCAGGGTTGGACAGATTTTGCTTCCTGTATTGTAGACTTACTGCTTGGTTGCTTAAGCTTATAAACACTCCTGTCTCATTCTGGAGTGGTTGCAACTTTGCAAACCTAGAAAACAATGCCTAGATCACAGGTACTCTAAAGTGGTGAAAGAATTTAGCAGATGTTTTTATTCACATGGCTTAATCCTTTTCTCTAGTACCATAGAAAACAGTGCCAAAAAGCTGTGTTTTATCTACAAGCCTGAAACTCCCTTCCTCCCCTATCATCCTAGTCTGTATTCTGAGCAAATTTAGAGTCAGAGTGGTTTCATGAACAGCTGTAAGTATTGTTCTGAGCTGACTTCCCAACATCCAAAATGGTGGTATTAGGTCATTGGTGGTTTTTTGTTTGTTTGTTTTTGTTTTTTTTGGGCTAGGGGTGTTGTTGACGGGGAACTCCTTCCTTTTCCTGCTTGGGGAGTGGACCTCTAGTTCCATTGCCTGTTGCTTTTGGGCAGCAGTCTGAGAATTCAAGACCCTGCACAGTGCAGGGGATAGGATGCAGGATTTCCGCCCAAGCCCAGTCTGCTGAGCTGCTGTCACAGGGCAGACCTTGTGTCTGCTTTATCTTGGTGAAGCAGCTGCACTGAGCAGATTGCTCACACAGCAGCCTGTTCCATCTGTGGGTAACCATGTTCCGAGGCAGCAAAGAGAAACCGCTATTGCTCCGTGGAAATAAACTATCTGAATAAAACTTCTTAACGGGGGTTGAGGCTGAAGCTGAAACGGGAGTCGGACACGATCTTGGCTCCTGAAGTCTTTAAAGGTCAGTTTGATGCACACTTCTATACCACCACCTGTTACCAGCTGTAGACAGAAGACCTATCTCCATGCTTGCCCCTAGGCTTTTGTAGGTAAGAAGCAGCCTGTTTTGTCTTTATTGTTTATTTTTGCTGTTCTTTTCAATTTTTGAAAATCCCTTTACACATATGTATTAAGAATGTGGGGGAGGGTTATGGAGAGAAATGAATCAATGGAGCAAAAGAAGTTGCTTTGGAAGAAGCGCAATTTAAATACAGTGGTTATTTTCCCTGGTAAAGGGCTTTTAGCCGTTTATAATCTTTTTCCTCCCCAGTTGAGGGATTTAAGGAATCCGAGGTAGAATTTTTGATGACTTTAGCTTTTTAGTTTTATTAATGTTTTGGATTGTTAGTGATAGATACTTGCTGGCTGTTGTCTCAGGATTTAAATGAGGTCTCTAATTTTTAAAAAAAGCCACAACAACAAGTCTATTTTGGGGGCCCTGGCAGGTTGGCATTTCAGAAGAATGGGAGTGGCTGTAAGCTGATGCCTGGTGATGTTCTTTTCATTTCGGTGCTGCGTCCTTGGCCACATGGGCCGGAATTATTTCTCTTTCTGGCTCAGTGGTCAGAATTTGACTCAAGCAAGTGTGAACTCTGTGGGGATTGTGTCTGTAGTATCCTATGAGAAAAAGTAAAAACCAGGGAGAATTTCAGACTTTGATTTTTATTAGCACATATAGTAAAGATGGTGAGAAATGACGGATGTTTAGGATTTTGAGGTTTTGAGAAGGAAGAAAAATGTATGGACTTTCAGCAGTATATATGGGCTTGAGGTTGGTAAATTTTGTGTAGGTGAGTTACTTGTCCTGTTACCAAAAGGAGTCATACTCATGGTCTCAAACTGCAGAGGAACTCTGTATTGATGGTCTCAGACTACAGAGAAAGTAGCCAGTCATGAAGAAATTGGTACTTTCTTCAGAAAATGGCCAGGATTGGGAAAATCCCTGGTCACATTACTTTAGAGAAAAAGCACCTGAGTGTGATCTCAGAGCCAAAGGGTATTTTCTATCAAGTTTACATTCTACTCATAGATTTAATCATACTGTTTTGTGAGTGAGAAGACATAGGTTTAACTGCTGATTTGGAAGGAGCCAGTTTGAAAGAAGGGGATGTGGCCCTTGACCCACCAAAAGCATTGACCACAGTGCTTAGGAAATCAGTGATGCATGACTGAGCCACGCCAGTCCTGCAGAGGCTGCCGACACCCGTCAAGTGTGAGTAATCACTGTTTTCTAGTGTGACTGGTTGCTGTGCCAAGATGCATCTTTTCAAAGTTGATAGGTATAGGAAAGGAAGGAGGTACCAAAAATCACATCCCCAGAGGAAAGCAACCCTCTTTCCCCCCAGAAATTACTCTGACTCACTTAGAGATGTTTTGATCAAGGGATAGTTCTAAGGGGATTGCTTAGTCAGATTTTAACTTTAATAACATTTTATGAAATTTAACACAGATTTTGGTTCTTTGGGCAAGGAAACTTGTTTACCCATTTTTAAACTGCTGGTAAGATTATATAATTATAAGGTCAAAGAAGGAAGAAAAGAGGTTCATCTATAGAAATGTAACTCTTACAAATTTAAGGTAGACTTTTGTACATGTCATGTGCTCCTAGAATAAAATCTTAATATAATTTATTCTTTGGTGAAAGAAACTTCTGTGCTCTTTAGTGTGGGGAGCATTTTTCTTGCCAGAGTAGTGGCATCACTAGGTTAATAACCACAGATGCATTTCCACATGAAATCGAGATGACAGTTCCATTTGCATTTGGATTATTAAGGTGAATTTTGACTGTTCAATCATGAGTCCCGTTTAAAGAAGTGTCAGAAGCCTAAATTTGCCTCAGACATCATTTATCATTTCCTTCCTGTATTTGCTTGACCATGTGGTGGTCAGGTAACAAAAACCACCACTGTTTTTGGTCTGTCAACATGGCCAGCAAGAGGACAACTATGTAATTCTTGAGAAAACATGCGCAGAAACGTTTCTCTTAAGAAAGGGATAGCTAGTCTGTGATTAGGTTTCAGTTTTGGAAGAAATAAGGGTTAAAAATAAGACGTAACTGCTGAGTAGTTCATTCTTACTGGTTACAGTGATGGGTGGATCAGAGTGTGTTGTATGTTAGTGAAAGTCATACTTGTCCCAGAGGCTTTTTCTCATTCTCAGTGGCTTTTTCCTTTTTGTTTTGTACAAATCCTTGCTTTTTTGATGATGGCCAAGATGGACTACCTAGCTTCAGCTATTAATCTGTTCCCCTGAAGCTTATGAATTTAGTTTTCCATATGCAAGTTGGTGCTACACTCAGATTTGTCATAAAAAGTCAATAGTGAAATGGATGTTCAAAAGACATTGAATTGGATCCTCGCTTAGTTCCAAGCGCCTACAAAGGCTAGGGAAAACCAGTAACCATGCGATAAAGGAATAGCTCAGCATAGGGTCAGAAATGACACTAGCCGCTGACAACAAAAGAATACTTTTCCATTTTAACGCAAAAGCAAAACAAAACACATGAAACCTGGAGCATGTTGTATGAATAGTAAGGCACAGGAATCAGTTTTTAAAAATGTACTCTGTAACCCCCCTGCACTTTCAGAAATGCCAGACGTGAAAGCTGAAGATGAAGTGGATTTTAGAGCAAGTTCAATTTCTGAAGAAGTGGCTGTAGGGAGCATAGCTGCTACACTGAAGATGAAGCAAGGCCCAATGACCCAGGCGGTAAGTGGCATCAGTAAGTCTATAAGGGCACAAAATGTGTTTATCCTGTTCTGCTGTGTCTTATTTATGGCTTTGTCTTTTATTTGAGGGTAAGTGGGCAAAATAGTATTTTCCCCCTTCCCTCTTGTGCTGTTATATAAATGTGTTTATGTTGCTGCAGCTAAGCTTTCATAAATGGTATATACCATACAGCAAAGTTTTGGAATGGGCTGTTACATGTTTTCTTATAGATTATGCTGAAAAACATTTTCCCCTTGAGCACAAGGCTTTAAGATTTGTCAGTAAGCTTAAATTGTCACAAAATCTGAGCTATCACAAAAGGGGATCTATAGACCTTTTCTTTCTTTTTTTCTTTCCTTCTTTTTCTTTTTCTTTTTTTTTTTTGAGATGGAGTTTTGCTCTTGTCACCCAGGCTGGAGTGCAGTGGTGTGATTTCAGCTCACTGCAACCTCTGCTTCCTGGGTGAAAGCGATTCTCCTGCCTTCGCCTCCTGCCTAATTTCAGCTGTGAGTAGCTGAAATTACAGGCATGCGCCACCATGACTGACTAATTTTTGTACTTTTTGTGGAGATGGGGTTTTGCCATGTTGGCCAGGCTGTTTTCGAACTGGCCTCAAGTGATCCACCTGCCTCAGCCTCCCAAAGTGCTGGGATTACAGATGTGAGTCATGGCACTCGGCCTATAAACCCTTCTTAAACCTGACTCTTCTTTCTTTATATAAAAACTGATAGCCAAAATGAGATTTTTACTTTATAGCTCAATAGTAACTGTCTAAATTATGAAGTATATCGTTTTCAGCAATGAAAAAACAGGTTCAATAGGCCAGACGCGGTGGCTCACACATGTAATCCCAGCACTTTGGGAGGCTGAGGTGGGTGGATTACCTGAGGTCGGAAGTTCAAGATCAGCCCGACCAACATGGTGAAACCCTGTTTTTACTAAAAATACAAAAAAATTAGCCGGGCGTGGTGGCAGGTGCCTGTAATCCCAGCTACTTGGAAGGCTGAGGCATGAGAATCATTTGAACCTGGGAGGCGGAGGATGCAGTGAGCCAAGATTGTGCCATAGCACTGTAGCCTGGGCGACAGAGCACGACACCTTCTCAAAAAAAAAAAAATAAGAGAATAAAAGGTTCAATCAACATTTTTTTTTTGTTTTAAGAATAGTTTGTTTTGGGATATGATTCACATACCATAAAATCCACCCAATCAAATAAAGTGCATAGGTCATTGGTTTTAAATAGATTTACAGAGTTCTGCAACCATCGCCACTAAGGCTCTAATTTCAGAACATTATCACTCTAAGAAGAAACCCCAGACCCATTAGCAGTGTGCCTTTCCTTCACTCTTCCCTCCCCCAGCTCATTAATCTACTTTTGCTTTCTGTAAATCCATAGAGAGATTTGCTGTGAGAGTGTGAAAGTGGCTGTAGATAGTACGTAAACTGCCCATTCCAGAACTTCATGTAAATGGTATAACACAATATGTGATCTTTTGTCTCTGGCTTCTTTCACTTAGCGTAATATTTTCAAGTTTCATCCATGTTGTGGCATTGATCAGTATTTTATTTCTTTTTATTGTCAAATACTGTTCCGTTGTATAGATATACCACATTTTTTTGTGGATTTGGATTGTTTCCACTTTTTGGCTACTGTGAATAATGCTGTTATGTACATTTGTGTACAAAATTATGTGGACATGTTTTTATATACCTAGTGGAGTTGCTGGGTCATATGGTAATTTCCATTTATTTGGCTTCAAAAATATTTTTCTTCAAGGTCTTGAGATTATTTTTCTTTGTTTAAAGCTATTAACTTTTATTTTATTTTATTTTTTATTTTTTTGAGATGAAGTCTTACTGTCACCCAGGCTGGAGTACAATGGCAGGATCTTGGCTCATTGCAACCTCCACCTCCTGGGTTGAAGCGATTCTCTTGTCTCAGCCTCCCGAGTAGCTGGGATTACAGGGACTCGTCACCACGCCCGGCTACTTTTTTGTGTTTTTAGTAGAGATGGGGTTTTGCCATATTGGCCAGGCTGGTCTCAAACTTCTTATTTCAAGTGATCCACCCGCCTTGGCCTCCCAAAGTGCTGGAAGTACAGGCGTGAGCCTGTGCACCCAGCCAGCTATTAACTTTTAAAACAAACTTGTTGAGAGAAACAGTGCCCTATGCTTTAGATTCCATGGTGGTCAAAAAAAAAAAATTAGAAAGCTGAAAATCAAGTTAGTGAACTTACTCATGCTGCCCCTTTGAAAGTCCATGTTCCTTGGGCTACACTTGACATTGCACTGTTTTTACTCTTCAGAGGACTAAGTGGTATGTTTTTTTGAAATTTCACGGTAGGTAAATGGAACAGACTATCCCAGATTGTTTCAAGAGTATGAACAGTGATGAACAAACCTTGTTGTATTGGAGTACTGTGGTATGAAGGTGCTGACTGTTCTAACCCGCCCTTATTACACATAATATTCATGACTAATGCCTGGGTGGCTACTTGTAAAGCAGGCATTATTCAGACAAATGTTGCTTTTACCCCTGTGAGAAGAAAAGAGAACACACCCTGCATGGGTACGTGTGTCTTTGTTTCCAGAAGCCCCTTAGAAAGGGAAGGAAAAAACTCACATCCTTGAATTCAAATACCTCTGTTTCTTAGTACTCCATTTTAATATTGTAGTGATTAGAGTCATTGAATCCAGGCTGGTACTTGGCTCTAGACCCTTTGCTTTCTGATGAGGGATATCTCTATTCTAATGGTATCTTGTCTACTATAAAGAAGAAAACAAAACATGACTTAAAGAAAAGAAAAGGTCTCCTCTCTCAGTCCCTTTCCTCTTCTCCTTTTTTCTCTAGTTTTAAGAGTTGAGAGAGTGAATATTCCTCTGGTTGGTCAGCATACCTCAATTTACAGATAAAAGAATAGACCCTTGGAGAGTCACATGACTAGCTTGAGGCCAAAGGCAGCTGGAAGAGTTTGAGGTTTGATTTCTAATCTGGGACTTACACAACAGGGCGATTCCTCCTTGACTCAAGAAACCTGGGCTCTGATTGGTAAAGTTGCTATAAGAAGCCTGAGAACCATGTAATTTATCTCTAGCTGCGAGATATCAATGCCTTATGCTTTGTGTTTGCTTCCACCGTGTAGAGTTGGGGAAAGCATATGTCAGTGGGATTTTCAGTTCTTGAGGATTTGCAGGCCTAAATTCAGGAAGTTTTTGTGTTCACAGCATTCTTATAATGATGTGAAATCTGACTACTTAACTCTTCTCCGTGGTGCTCTGACAAACTTGCCTTATTTGCTGTGAGTTGAAAGGATAAAACAGACACACACTTTAATTTTTCCCATTTAACTCTTCACATACTATATTCATATAGGTTTTCACTGGATGGGGAAAGAGAGCAGAGGTCGGCAAACATTTTGTAAAGGACAGATTTTGTAAATGCTTTGTGGGACATATGGTCTCTTAAAACTAGTAAGCTTTGCTGTGAGTATGAAAGTGTCTGTAGCTAGTATGTAAACAAAGGAGTGTCACTGTGCTTCAATACAACTTTATTATGGACACTGAAATTTGAATTTCATGTGATGGTCATGTGTCGTGAAATATTATTGTTTTGAATTATGTTTCCAGCCATTAAAAAAATGTAAAATCTCAGCCGGGCACAGCGGCTCATGCCTGTAATTCTGCCACTTTGGGAGGCTGAGGCAGGCGGATCACTTGAGGTCAGGAGTTCGTGACCAGCCTGGCTAACATGGGGAAACCTTGTCTCCACTAAAAAAAAAAAAAAAAATACAAGAGTTAGCCAGAAATTGCTTGACCCGGGAGGTTGCAGTGAGCCGAGATCGCACCACTGCACTCCAGCCTGGGCGACAGAGTAACACTCTGTCTTGAAAAAAAAAAAAAAAAAGCCTACTCTTAATTTTTTTTCATGGGCTGTAAAAAAGAGTTAATATCCCACTGGCAATAGCATGTGAGCCCCTGCCTAATAAATACTTGTGCACCAGTGGAAGAAAAGAAAAAAGAAGCAAGCAGATTTCTTAAATTGTTTTGTGGTGAAACCTCTGGTTTTTAAACTACAGGTTGGGAGTGGGATCAAGTTCTGTCTTTCCTGAATAGCTTTTTGACAGCCTCTCTAGGGCTCAGTTTCCTTGTCTCTAATCATTCTCTAGCTTTAACCTTCTAGAGTCTGTTTTCATGCTGAAAAGGGTTAGAGTCTATGATTATATTTGAGGGAGGAGTGGCATTTGTGTAATATTTAACCTGATCTTTCTGCCACATACCCCGTCTATGTGTGTGCCTTGGGAATAGGCCAGTCATTGCTTCATTGAATCATTGAATCATCCTCTCCAAATGTAAAATAGAACAAATTCCTGTATCTTATGCTTTGCTACCGGCTTCAAAACCAGTAGTATGGTAAATTTATGGCAGTTTTCTAATAAATGTAAATAATCCATTTAAATTCTTATGGAAGTTTTGTAACATTCTCTAAACGTGTAATGGTCAGAGCATAAGAACCTCTGTCGAGTGGCACTACCAAGGATTTAAAGAAAAAAGCTACAGCTGAGTTCTTGTTTTCTTTAGTCCTTTAGTCTGCTATCTGTCATACAAACTGAGGAGTAATTTTTCATTCCTTAACCTGTTTGACACATGTATTGTAAATAAATCCTTACTTTAAAGGTCCAGTGCTGAAAATCATAGTTCATGAAGGAATTAGACAGTATCTGCATTCGTTTACTTATATTCTCAGAGAAAACACAGGTATGTGTTAAATGCTGCAGATTTCTTGATAGTCTTTACTGATATTTCTTTATTGGGGTGAAAATGTTCACAATTTTTGAGGCAAAGTTATTACTTTACACATATTGTGGTTTATTCCCATTAATCATTTTATCATTTTATTTTAGCCAAAGTTTTAATGCCCATTGCAATTTAATATTCATCATTACCTCCACCTGTATGCTTTACTGGTTTGAAGGTATTCAGATTACCTTTCGTTGTCATCTTTTTTTCCTTAGTGAGTTAATATATATCAAGTACTTAGATCAGAGCCTGGCACAAAATAAGTACAGCTTAGTATTATTATTAGTTTAGTAACTTCAGATTACAATATGCTATTCACTTATTTTAGTAACTAGTGGAATATGGTGGTTCAGACTCAGTTACTGCTTCTTGAACATGTTATAAAAGCTTCAGGAATAGTTTCTTACATTAATTTGAAATTGAAAGACATGGAACTTGTTTTGCTTCTGAGACCGTTACAATTTGAAAGAACCTTAAAGATTTTCTGAAGTCCAGCACCTTTGCTTTATAAGAGAAGAAATGGATTCAGGATAGTTAAATGACTTACCTTGTTTCACAGCTAGTTAACTGTCAGCTGGACTAGAACCCAATTTCTATGTGAATAATTTTTCCCATTATACTATTTCCTGAAGAATCATCTGAGGGTACACTTGGGAAGTCCCATCCACTTGGTTTAGGATGGGTTTTTGCGTTTTAAACAAGCATCCCTGAATGATACTTAATGCATGCTAAAATTCTAAAGCCATTGCATTATACTTTCATGCTTTTGGTAATAGTTGGAGAAACTCCTTTAGCCATTTTAAGATGTAAGCTGATATACTTTAAGTCTCATGTTCTTACTATAATCTGTTTAGCTGCAACTAAATACCACTAAGATGATGTTTCTCCAAAATGCTTGCTTTTGGTGCAGAAATTAGGAAGATTTTTTAGACCTGCCTTTTATTTCCTAAAGAATGATATGATATTGAGCCAGATGCTGGAGGCAAGCAGGAGATGACATTGAATACTTAAGTTCAGAAAAAGTTCAGAAAAGAGGGCCGTCTGACACCATTCGCCTTCATAGTATGTCCCAGTACTGCAAACCAATATCGTATGTTGTAGGGATCTTTTCTCTTCAAGATATGGCCAAGTTCATTAGGAAGGACCTTCTCTCCCTGGGGCATCTGTTCATTGAAGTATCTCAATAATAGTTCCTTTTCTGAATGCTCTTTGCATAAGCTTATTAGCCGTATGGAACAGTTAATTCTACAAACCAGTATATATTGTCAGGGCTCCTATGGTCCTAACAGTCAAACACTCAAGAACAACTATGTTCAAGGACAACTGTAAAATCCCATGTGTTGAGTATTAGGCTACTGGGAAAATCTACTCTTTATTTAACATACCTTCCTCAATCAAGAAAGCATTTAAAATCAGAACCATGATCTTTTTTTTTTTTTTTTTTTTTGGCAATTATACAGCCAAACATCAAATTAACTGAATTTCCATTCTTAGTTATTTTTACAACAGTATTCATGTTTTTTTCTTCAGGACTGTAGTAAGGGCATTGTTGGTCTTAGAATATTGCCTGTTAATATCTTCCTGAACTATGTCCTTTTATTATATTTAATGGAACACTCTGTTTTCTTTCTGTTGTCTAAAGGGGGCGAACTTGTATTTCCATCCCTAGTCTAGGAATTTGGTTGAAAGCTTTTGTATTGTGTGGCTGTTCACAGACTTCATGCTCAGCTGCCGTGGGAAAATATGACAGCCTCTAGGCTATTTGGTGACTAATCCAACAACTTATAATGCTGATATTCAAAATGGCTTGTACGTCCCACCCTGTTATTTAATAGTTGTCAGTTTTTAAAAAGGTCCTTTAAAAATGTTTCTGCCATCATATTCACATAGTTTTGTGGTGTGTGTGTCACCTAGGGAAAGGCAAATTGCCCACTTTCTGAGTTGCCAGAAAGTCTTATCTGCATACATTTTTGGCATGTAAGAGAGGCAGGCTCTCCTTAAATTATCCCATATAGGTCCAAAGCTAGAGCTAGCATCAACCACACAAAATTTAATTCTCAGTTTTTTTCATGTAGATTTTTTGGAGACTCTCTGTATCTCCTCTGAAATGGAGAGTTTCCAGGAAATTATCAGCGGCTCCTAATACAAATTTTTAATACAATTGTGGAAAAGAAGTACCTCAGAGAACCCCAGACCATAAAGTCACAAGTGGCAAAACTATAAACTTAGTGTAAAACTACCCATAGATAATGTATGTAAAGGTATAATTTAATGATCTAGTTGTACATTTTTAAGTGACCTTAAGCAAGTTATTTAATTTCTCTGATCTGTGTTTTCTCCTTTGTGTAATGGTTAATCTCTAGTTTCTTCCAGCTCTTAATTTTTGACCAGTGTGTGATTATGAAATGATTAGAATAATTTAAAAAATACTGTAATCCCAGCACTTCGGGAGGCTGAGGCAGGTGGATCACATGAGGCCAGGAGTTCGAGACCAGCCTGGCCAACATGGCAAAACCCCATCTCTACTAAAAATGCAAAAAAATTAGCAGGGCGTGGTGGTGCGCCCCTGTAATCCCAGCTACTTGGGAGGCTGAGGCATGAGAATTGCTTGAACCTGGGAGGTGGAGGTTGCAGTGAGCCAAGATTGCACCACTGCCCTCCAGCCTGGAAGGCAGAATGAGACTCTATCTCAAAACAAAAACAAAAAAACAAAAAAACAGAAAACCAAAAACAAAACTGAGGATATCTTACATTTGGACCAAAAGGACAATCATGAGGGATTTTTTTTTTCTTTTTTAAATTTGAGACAGGGTCTTGCTATGTTGCAGATCTTGAACTCCTGGGCACAAGTGATCCTCCTGCCTTGGCCTCCCAAGGTGCAGGATTACAGGTGTGAGCCACCATGTGGGAATTTTTTTTTTTTTTTTTAAATCACACATTCTTTAACCCAATCCTTAACTAATCACTTTTGTCTTAAATGTTTTCCAAGGTGTTTTGTTCTGGGATATTAAAATCAATTATATTAGAATCTGCTTTTTTCTTTCATAGAACTGCTGAATCATAGGTCATATGTGCATTTTAGAGGGGATGTGTGTCTCATGCCACCCCCTCTTGAGTGAAAATAACTGTATCTGAGTCTTACCACTCTTTCTGTCTACTACTTACACTCATTTCTCTTTTGTTCATTCGTATTATATTGACAGCCAATGATAATAGCTAAGTATAAGGGAAAGATTATGGAGCCCAGTGAATTAGGGTTTTAACCTAGTTTTGCCAACTACCAGCTGAATAATTTTGATTCATTTATTTAGAGGCTGTTTCCTCATTTGTAAATTTGGGATATTGATGCCTGTTACAAAGGTTGTTTGTATTAACTAGAGTTAGGAAATTCTAGCCTATAATAGGCATTTTAAATGCAATAGATATAATTCTAATCTCATTTTAAAGTAACTCAGAATTATTAGGCCCATCTTAAGACAGTATGAATGAGTGATTTTAGATAATGATTTTTAAATGGTCTTGGAAGAAGCTATCAGTTATATCAGGCCACAGTGGTACTCATTTAACTTTCCATGTCACTTTATGTTTACTGCAAGGGTGTACTAATTTATTCAGTACTCAGTTCAACAAATGTTCATTGAACTCTGTGCTAGGCCTCAGATATGCTGAAATGAAAGTAGATGAGTCTCTGCATTCAAAGGCTCATATTCTAGTAGGAAAGGCAATTATTAAACCAGTAAATCAGACATATTCTCAAGTGTTAAAATACAGGTAAACATATAGGTGCTTGTGAAAAGATAACTTTCAGTGAAATGGACGCTAAATTCTCCTTTCTAAGGAAGTTTTTAAAGAATATTATATTATTTTTACACTGTGGGAATGAAGATATATGCATTATGTATCAGAAATATAGGCTTGGGCGTAGCCATTATTTCTACCAGTAAATTTGGAAGGGCTACCAATAGGTGATCTCTTAGAAAAAACTATGTATTGCTTGTAGTTCTAAGTTCTGTGTTGCTTACTGATATAAATATGACTTAGAGCTGCTTGTTTTTGCCTGTAAAAGAGAAAGTTTCCATAGTAGAAAATTAAAAGAGAGATGTCATTTGATCTTTGAGAAAGGCCTAGGTCCACCTCAGGGATCTACCTGGGTACCTACAATTTAGGCAGTTTTAGATATTCCATATTAGGTTTTGATTGTGGATTTTAACAAGAGTCTAGTGATATGTCGCTAGTTGACCACCAGAAGAGTAAATGTGTACACTATTTACGGAGTTGTCCACTATATATGGAGTTGTCTACTTTATCCAGAAAAAGTTTCAGGGTCACCAATTTCAGATGTTTCTAGTCTCCTAGGCTGCTCAATTTTGTGATATTAGCCTGTGGCTTTAATTTCATTCATTTATTCATTTAGTAAACATTAAATGATTATTTTTCCCTGGACAAATTATTGCATCAAATTTGGAGGGTTTTTTTTGTTTTTGTTTTTGTTTTGTAGAGATAGGGTCTCACTTTGTTGCCCAGGTTGGAGTGCAGTGGCGTGATCATAGCTCACTGCAGCCTCAACTTCCTGGGCTCAAGTGATACTCCCACCTCAGCCTCCAGAATAGCTGAGACCACAGGTGCGAGCCACCACACCTAGCTAATTTTTAAATTTTTGTAGAGACACGGTCTCCACAATGTTGCCCAGGCTGGTCTCAAACTCCTGGACTCAGTGACCCTCCCACCTCAGCCTCCCAAAGTGCTGGGAATACAGGCATGAGCCACTGCACCCTGCCAAATACCAGATAATTTTTGAAAGTTAGGTATCCTTTTTGCCCTCAGCATACCTAGAATCTAGTTAAATTTAAAAAAGCAAACATATACAGATATAATCACAATACATGAATGCAGTATATGAGACATGTTATCAGATACCATTAATGTGCTATAGGAGATCAGAGAGAGGAATACTTCTTGAAAAGTGCCTGTCTGAAACGTAATGGTGTTTCCTTGGTGAGACCCATGTTGTACCACAGGTGGTATCAATAGTCTATTGGCAAGAACAGGGATAGCTTCAGGGAGCCATTGATATGCTTTCCAGCCTTGTAGTTATTTTTTTACTTTCACAATACGCTCAGCCCTTCGAAGATCATAGAATTGCCTAAGGATTGCCAGAGACACATCAGTTTGCAAGGTAACTGATCTGGCAGTAATCCAGGTTAAAAAAAGAAATTTCATTAGGACTGAAAAACATAAAATTTACCACAGAATATGAAAAATGGAAGTATTCAGTAGTATATGAACCATGTGGAAATTGAAACAAGTAGTATTTCTGTTTAAATATTTCCATTCAGCCATTGAAAGTGTGTGTTCTCCCTTCCTGCCTCTTTCATTTCATACAGTGATGTAGACATTTTGCTTCCATTCTGAGGACACCCAAAACCCTATCACTGCTGTGGACCTGAGCAACTGGGACAGTGTCTTAAGTGTACATATGAAGTCTTCAAAGAAAGTTAGTTGATGGTGAAAATGCCTTTCATAAAGTTCAGGGCAGAGAATACTCTTATGAGCACATTTAAAATATCTAAGTTTAAACCTAACTCAGAAGTCAGAGTAAGCCAAAATGTTTATTGTATTGATCTTCTTTTTCTGTAGTTGGCATTTGCTCCTGACTGAGTCATTAGTATTCATATATATATTTAAGAGTTTTGAAAGCATAGTTGCTGGGTGTAGTGACTCACAACTATAATCCTGGCACTTTGGGAGATCGAAGCAGGTGTATTGCTTGAGCCTAGGAGTTCGCAACCAGCCTGGGCAAAACCCTGTCTCTACCAAAACTACAAAAATTAGCCAGGCGTGGTGGCATGCTCCTTGGGAGGCTGAGGTGGGAGGATCATCTGAGCCTGGGGAGGTGGAGGCTGCGGTGACCCATGATTATGCCACTGCACCCTAGTCTGGGCAACAGAATGAGACCCTGTCTCAAAATAAAATAAAAAACCTAGTCACTCTGGGGTTGGAATTTGGGGTTATGGAGGTATAAAAACGAGTCAGACTTTTCACATGTGATTTCAGTGTTTGTACTGAAGATGGTTGCAAAAGATTTCTCTAACAGTTTGAACTAATTATAATAGGAATAATTGGGGTAAATTGTATAGCTTCACAGTTGGCCTTTATGGTTAAATACGTATTTGAAAGGATAAATTTGGCTTGGCGCTTTCATTTATGTGAGATACGTGTGTATGTGTATGTTTCTTTTACTGTGTAGAGTATGAAGTACCTTGGGAGTGGCACATCTGGGAAGTTTTTGCTGAACCCCTTCTCTGAGGCAGAAAAAAAACATGGTGGAGAGGCTAAGTAGTTAAAAATTATGAATTATTTTATTGCTTGGAATCCCCTTGAAGAAAGATAGATTAGTAGAAAAACATACTTGAACTGGAGATGTCCTGTTCCCTTTTGATTTATGTAAAAACAGCATGTGATCAAAAAATTTGTAATGGAACCATTTAGAGGTCTTTTCTATTTATACTCCAGATTCTATAACTATGGGAATCCAAAATCTTCCAAAAATAATTGTTCTCATTATAGAATATTAGTTTAGGGAGGAATTTTAGTGAGCATGAGGCTTGTGCCCTTTAATTTGCAAGAAAGGAACTGGAGTCCCCAAAGAGCTAGCATGCTCAAAGGGCCTGCCATCATTTGTGATGCCCAGGAGCCTCTCCTTGCCCACCTCTGTCTTAGACATCACCTGTCACTGAAGTAAGCTCCTCAGTGTCACATGGTAAGCCAGAGGCACACTGGAAACCTCTCCAGTGTTTCTGCTGGAGATTCTTAAATAGGAAATTCTTAAATAGGACCATCTTTACTGGTCAGTGACTTTCCTCTACTTTATGAAATCCTTTAATCCTTACTCCCCATACATTAAGAAAAATTATGGGAAGGATACAGCTGAATGTGTACGCTTGATCCCTTTGTTGTGGTTGATGAGCTGTGTGCATCTGCTGCACTGGTGACTCTGCAGTACTTCCTTTTAGCAAATTGCCTTCTGATACAGATACTTGGAGGCTTGTGGCTGGGCCATGGGCAGATCACGGTATAGGGTGATCTGGGTAGACTGAGGATTCCCACTTCCTGTTGCCTTCTCCTTTCCTGAGCATGGCATCTTTATTTTTGGGTGTGCTTGTTGTGTGTTACCTTCCTTGAAATTTAGTGAAAATTGTTACCTACCAACCCAGTAAGCCTGCATGAATCACTGTGAAATCCAGGTTTGTGTAATTCCAGCGTTTTCTGACAGCAGATGAATGATGTGAAAAATGGAAGAGCCTTCTGCTTGTCATGTTCTTCCTTAGGGTAAGATCCTGGTCGCTCTGGGAAAAGCAGAATTGTAAGATCCCCTTTCCAATATTCTTTATCTTTTGGTTTCTATGAAAATAATAACTCAAGGAAAATGTCGTATGTTCAGTTTTATTTTTGACATCATTAATTTCTTTCTTTGTCATTCTTCCTCCTTGTTTTGCTACCAAAAATTTGTTGTGTTTATTTTTTCCCTTGAATCAAGGGGCCTGAAGACAATGGGTTGGTTTGGACTCCCCCTGCCATGCTGGGCTAGAGAAGAACCAAGGGGTACCACCTCAGCCACCCACAGGCCTCTTGCAATTGGGCCTAGGCCTGGTCCATTCTGGAGAGGATGCATGATGAGAAGCATCAGAGCCTGTGTAGTGTGCAGTCTCTACTTTGTGGGCAACAGGACATTTTCTCTAAGAGGCTCAGGAATTTTTTCTCTCATTCCACCCCGTGAAAGCCAGAAACTGTGGGAAGCCACAGACTGACTTGTCAGCGGGAGAGGCATGGAAAAAACATATGTCCATGCACGAATCCCTTACTTTAAACATTTGTAGCAAAGATTCCAACGGTAAATTATGCTGTTGGAACATAGTCCCTTCTTCCAGGAGATGTTACTCTTGTGCATTTCCAAAGCAAAATTGAGCCTTTAATCTGCAAATATGTACTATTTTGTATGCTGAACGTTGTAATAGAAACCAGGGATGCCATGGTGGGTAAAATAAGACAGATTTCATCCCTCAAGAAGCTCTATTGGGAGAAACAAAGAAATGAACCAGGAGTTGACACCTGGGTCGTGGGAACTCAGAGAAGGAATTTTCCATTGTTTAGGCCTATCTACACCACTGTCCCTTCTACTGTTCCCTTCTAGTAGCATTGTAACATCAGGCATTAAGTGGAATTCTGCTGAAATGTTTCACTCAAAGGATTTTCCCTGTTGACAGCATTGCTTGCCTTAAAATAGGGGGTCAGACTTTTCATTCCAGTTCCAGAAAGTGATGCGTGTATCATGATTGTTTTGCTATGAAACAGTTCCTGTCCCTATTACCCTCGTAGTCAACACAATAGGCTATGTTCCTTCCCAGGAGTCATTAGGTTTCCCTAATGGGATGATGGAAAGGAGGGAAATAGAGCTCTGGCCCTCTTCCTTCATTAGTGCTGAAATCTGGTGCTGTATCTGCTTCACATCAAGCTCAGTGGATTGTTTTTCCCTTGTCTGAGCCTGCTCTTTCCTCCTTGAGTGAGGAAAAGGATTTAAATCCTGGCTTTCCTGACATGGAACTTTCCTGCAGTGGCTGTTGCAGCTGAACGCATTAAAAGGAGTACCTGCAAGCTGTGAGAAGAAATATTGTTTGAAGATTAGCATATAATATAATGTGGACAAGTGCTCTTAGGTTTGCTTTTAAATCGAAAGACTGTGTTCTGTAGGATTTGAAAAAGAATAGAATTTGTCATTGGCACATCCCACCCGTCATAGCCCCACAGGTTTCTTTGTAGCCACTGGAGGGTCTTAAGTGATTCTGGCAGTAGTGAATTCAGGTGATTGACATTTGCTCCTGGGTGTCAGAGTTACCGTGTATCTCTACCTACTCACTGGTTTTGGTCTCATCTTGGGGAGCTACTGTGCTTCTAGCTGTCCCAGAAGGGGGGAGGTGGGAAGCTCATCAGTGCCTAACAATGCCAAGTTTTCTTTGTTTTATTCCTAATGGGAACTTATACTGCCATTTGTCTGTTTCTTGGCATAACTCTTTGGGAAGGAAGAGGGGTTAAATAAAAACAAAATAATGCATACCTTTTATGAATATTATCTCTGGGCTGGGTGAGGTGGTTCATGCCTGTAATCCTAGCACTTTGGGAGGCCAAGGTGGGAGGATTGCTTGAGCCTAGGCATTCAAGACCAGCCTAGGCAACAAAGTGAGACCCCATCTCTATTTTTAAAAAAATTAAGAAATAATATTATTTCTGAATTAGTCTTGCTGTTTTTTAAAACTTGGAGTCACCCTATTGGTTAGATAATACCAACCATCTATTAGCAAACAAACATCAAGCTGCCCTGAAATATGACTGATGTGGAGTGTTGCCTTGATCCTTCCTCTTTTATTAAGGCTGGTTTGTGGGAGCTTGGAGCAGGAAGAAGGGAGGTAGCAAAAAGGACAGAGAAGGTGAAGGAGACCTTTAATGTGGGGGTTGGGGAAGCAAAAGGATAACTAAACATAAGCCTCTTGACAGCATCTGTGACCGACCATGCACCAAAGCCATGATATGGCAACAGCTGTGTAAAGGCCCAAGATGTTTAATTCTTTTAGCAGTTGTTCCTGTAACTTCTTGTGGTGTATCACCCCAGCATAGAATGGGGAAGATGGGAATAGCTTAGATTTAAAAAAAAAAAAAAAAAAAGGCTAGCTTACTATTCTTCCTCTGAAAAGCGTTTTATCACATAACCAACTAGTTTAGTCTAATGGTGGAAGATAATAGCACAAATCTAAATAAATTAAAAGTACGAATTGTTAAATATTTTTAAAAGCAGGCTTTTACTTTTAGATATACACAATTACTTGGAGGAAATTTCAACAGCTGCTGCTAAGTAGAGGCACTGCTGGGCCATTTTTAATGTAGTAGACAGGACTTTAAATATTGACATCCATTTTCACAACACAAATGTTCCTTTAGGAAATTCTTTTTAATAAACAAATAGTAATTAAAAGATTTAACAAATGCATGACATTAATTTTAAATTTAACAAGATAGCCTTTTAAAGGAATATATTCCCCTACCCAGCCCCAAAAAGCATTTATGTCCTGATGACCACAATGAATAACTGAGCTGAAGAAACAACTTGTCTTTGTCAGGGAGATAAAATTCTTCTGCCACGTTTTTACCTTCCATTCCTTAGCATTGTGTCTGTGGCTCTTCCTAATATCACTTTCCCCAGGAGTGGGAAGACCCTCTTACAATTATTGGAACATTTCCACTGTAGAACCTGTGACAAGTTAATCTTTTTGGAATGGCAGTCAGATAGCTGGAGGTAAAGCCTTACGTGCCAGATCTTCTACTTTGACACCTTTGCTACACTATATTTCTAAAATATCCATGTACTTGGCTGACTTCTTAAATGCTGAGCAAAATTTATCCTTGATGGCTCAGAATTATTGTTATGAGGGTATCTATTACTATTATGTATTAAAATGTACATTAATGGGCACTAATCCGAGTAATAATTCAGGAACTTGCATTAAAAAGAGTTACTCATGTCAGTTTACCATTTGCCCTGGTCTTTCAAAAATGCAATGAGACTTATTCAGCCATATAGTCCCTTAGGAAGTACCTTTCAGTTAACTTCATTAGCACATAGGTCATCAAAAGTCTTTTCCTAAATAATTTTATTTGCCCTTCAGAAAACCATCTCTGTTTATTGTTCTTGCTGTAATTACTCTTAATTCACCAGCATCATTCATAATGTTATGAAATTGTTTAGACCTAATCTCACATATAACTAAAGGCATTAGCTTTCATATAGTCTGTTAAGTTAGAAAGCTCTCACCCAAGATTCTATCCTTTTCCCCCAAAATAAGAAAAGCTTTTTTTCTCTGAGACAGTAAATTTAACTTATCACATTAAACTGCCAATTTAGGGAACTCATACTCTCATCTTCTCTCACCTGAATTCTTTGTGTGTGTGTGTGTGTGTGTGTGTGTGTGTGTGTGTGTGTTTTTCTTCCAGCTATTCTTGTATTCCTTATAACCCATCAGTTCTCAAACTCTTTGGTCTTAAGATCTCTTCACATTTTTAAAAATTAAGAGCCCCAAAGAGCTTTTGTTTATATAGGTTATATCTAGAAATGTTTACTGTATTAGAAGTTAAAACTGAGAAATTTAAAAAATGTTTATTAATTCATTTACTACAATAAACTAATCATTATTAAAATTATATTTTTATAAAGATATTTTTTCTACAAAAAATTACTTTTCTACAAAAAAATTTAGAGGAGTGGTATTGTTTTAATTTCTGACTTAATATAAAATATTTGGATTCTTACATCTTTCATGCATTAAGCCTATTGCAATATATTGTTTTAGTTGAAGTATATAAAGAAAATTAAGCAAATACAGGTATATGCTTAGAAAAGGGAGAACTACCTTAATAGTTTTCTCAAATAATTGTGATATTCTTTGATACTAGATCAGAATTGACAAACAGTAGGTTCTTAAAAGCTACTTTCGGTATGCAATCTGAAATCGTATCATTGAACTTTTTGTACTCTGTCTCACTCTGTCATCCAGGCTGGAGTGCGGTGGCACAATCTCGGCCCACTGCAACCTCTACCACCCAGGTTCAAGGCATTCTTGTGCCTCAGCCTCCCAAGTAGCTGAGATTACAGGCGTGCGTCACCATGCCCAGCTAATTTTTGTATTTTTAATAGAGATGGGGTTTCTCCATGTTGGCCAGGCTGGTCTTGAACTCCTGATCTCAGGTGATCCTCCCGCCTCAGCCTCCCAGAGTGCTGTGATTACTGATGTGAGCCATTGTGCTGGGTCTGGTCTATCTCATATATATATATTTTTTTGAAACGGAGTCTTGCTCTGTCACCCAGGCTGGAGTGCAGTGGTGCAGTCTTGGCTCACTGCCACCCCCACCTTCTGGATTCAAGTGATTCTCCTCCTGCCTCAGCCTCCCCAGTAACTGGGATTACAGATGTGCACCACCACACCTGGATAATTTTTGTATTTTTAGTAGAGACAGGATTTCACCATGTTGGCCAGCCTGGTCTTGAACTCCTGACCTAGTGATCCGCCCGCCTCAGCTTCCCAAAGTGCTGGGATTACAGGCGTGAGCCACTGCACCCAGCCTATCATACTTTCAATGAATCTTTTACTCATGCATAATTTTGTAAAATCCTACATTGGTCATTTGGAAAATATTGATTCACTGAGTAATACAACTCTTCCAAATGTTGAATGTTTCATTCTACAATATCAGAAACTCAAATTTGTTAATGTTACTACTAGTCTCATCAGAAATGTCTTTAAGTATTTGTTAACTGGCAAACTCATAGTGACGACTACAGGCTTTCCAGAATTTTCATTTTCATTTGAAGTCTGAATTTTATCAACTATAAATACTGTCAGTTGTTTCCCTTGAGAAGCAGGTTCTAAGAAAATAACCCCAAGTTCTGAATAACCATTATTTGTCAGTCATTCTTTTAAGTAAAGTGTTGTTTCCTGAAAAAAGCAGTTTAGCTCACAACATAAAATAACTGTACAAGTGATTTTTCTCAAGACAGGCATCACATCACATACACAGAAGTATTATGTGTTTGCTTCCCATTTTGTCACACAGAATTTTAAAAAGGTGTGTACTCAGAGTATGGCAGTGAAGACTATAATGACTCCTGATTCATTCTGGCACCAATGCCTTGGTTTGTGCTAAGGCACCATCAGTGCAGATGTCAACACAGTAAAAAGGCAAGTAACATCTTACCATTACTATGAAAATAGTTTTGATCACACAGACACCCTGAAAAGGTCTCCTCAAGGTTTTGCAGACCGCACTTTGAGAACCACTTTGTCTAGCCCATGTTGCAGATTCTTGCTCAAAGTAAATTAAATAGCTCCTTGGTTTTTAAACTTTGTGATGTGGCATACATGGACTTTACAGTCTGTCTCTGAAGATTACTTGTACAGTCCCATCAGCTATACTTTTTCACCCCACAGTCCAGCTGCCAGCCTCGCCAGAATCCCCTTATTATTTGAAATTTATTGTTGTATTCACTCAATGTATTCTGTGCCTGAAATGCATCTCTGGAGTCAACATGGGTACCCTTTCCTTCTTTAAAGCCCTTCCCTGATGTGCAGTGTTACCTGTGGTGTCCTCTTCGCTCTCTCAGGCCTCCTGTTATACTCTTCTCCTTCCCCACACTGGAACAGACCCAGTGGAATTGCAGTGTATCTCATGTGCCTCACTAAGTACTGCACTGGGAGCTCTGCCGCCTCCTGCCAGTGACTCTGCTTCAGCCATGTTTTCATGCACAGTGACTTGTCACATTTCTCACACATGGCAGACATTTATAATGTCTGATGTGTGTTGAGTGTCTCAAAAGAAAAAGGGACACAGGAAGAACTTCAGCAAGGTTGATATCTAGTTAGTTGACAGTTTTTTGTTAAGTATTGCTTCAGCGAGCTCTACATAAGGGGATACAGTATTTACTTCATTTATTATTTTCTCTCCTTCAGGGCACTGACAACCTTAAATAGGTCACTTTAAAAAAAATAACTATTTCCTATTTACATAATAAATACATTTGAAGATTTAAGTTTTGTAAGTTGAGGTTGAAAAGCTGATTTAATCACTGTGGCAGGAGTTGCAGCTAAAAATTAGGTGAAGAATAGGAAGGTCCTCATTGATAACCCATTAAAATGAGTATTTAGGACTGAACCAAGAGAGGTGATTCATCTTTCTGTCTGTATAGAATTTGGATAATTGACTCAGTAATGAAATGGAACCAATCAAAAGCTGCTGCTGCTGCTGCTTTTTTTTTTTTTTTAAGTTGGAGCCTCGCTCTGTTGCTCAGGCTGGAGTGCAATGCTGCAATCTCGGCTCATTGCAACCTCTGCCTCCCGGGTTCAAGCAATTCTCCTGCCTCAGCCTCCCAAGTAGCTAGGATTACAGGCACCTGCCACCACTCCCAGCTAATTTTTGTATTTTTAGTAGAGATGAGGTTTCACCATGTTGGTCAGGCTGTTCTTGAACTCCTGACCTCAGGTGATCCACCCACCTCGGCCTCCCAAAATGCTGGGATTACAGGCATGAACTGCTGCACCCAGCCTTCAAAGCTTCTTTAGGTTCATCAGAATGAGAGTTAGATGCATAGAGCCATTAGAATTCAGACCCAGGAAAACCCTACTTATATGAAAGAAAGATTAGGAAGATTTGGGAAGTTCTTCTTAACAATAAACCATATGCTAAGCTCTTGAATACCACTGATGTTTACTGTAACATCTTCATAGGGCAGTCAGAAGAGAGATGTTAATAATCTATAGATGGCTAGTTGGAGGGACAACTTACATGTTTCCTGCTCAGTGCTGCACTAAGAGCTCATGGGTGCCCCTGGTAATAATTTATGCTCTTAATCCCCATGGATTACCTAATTTCCTAGATAAACTATTCCCGACAGTCAGCGCTTTGCAGGGCTTCTGAGCCATTAAACACACACATACATCCCGTTATTTTTTGAGAAATTATCAGAATGCTTTCATGAAACTTCGTCTCGAATAATTTACCATTTTGTGGAGAGGATATTTAAAAGTTTCACTGGGAACAATTGTAGAACATTCATATAAATTCCAGAGGGAGATATTTGCACACTTAGAAAGGGTCTTTTGCAGGGACATGGATGGAGCTGGAAGCCATTATCCTCAGCAAACTAACACAGGAACAGAAAACCAAACACTGCATGTTCTCACTTATAAGGGGGAGCTGAACAATGAGAACATGTGGATGCAGGGAGGGAAACAACACACACTGGGGCCTGTTGTGGGGTGAGGTGGGAGGTGGGAAAGCATCAGGATAAATAGCTGATGCATTGCTGGGCTTAATACCTGGGTTGATGGATTGATAGGTGCAGCAAACAAACATGGCACATGTTTACCTATGTAACAAACCTCCCGAGTCATGCACATGTAGCCCGGAACTTAAAATAAAATTGTTTTAAAAAGGTACTGGGATATAAGCTTATAAATAATTGTGAACAAATAATATAAAAATCAATATGTATTTAGACATATCTCAAGGATGGATAATTTTATGGAACCCACCCAAACTTCCATTTATATTTTAAAAAAGCATTCAGTCTTCAAGCTTATCAAGTTGTGTACTTTAAATATACATAACTTTTTGTATTTCTGTCATGCCTCAATAAAGTGGATTAAAATTTTTAAAACAGCATTAAGGGTAGACAGAATATCCTCCATTTAATGATAAATTTCTGATAGATCTCATGTATTTATAAGGTCTAACTACTAGTACCATTTGTTTGTAGTGGGCAGAGTGGATGCCCTTTAGTGCATATCTGTGTGTCAGATATTTGTGGTTTATTTTACATTTTTAAATAAAGGAGCTTCTGAATCTAGATTTTCTGCACTGGTTTGATCTACTTTTTTTTTTTTTTTTTTTTTTTTTTGTTGAGATGTAGTCTTGCTCTGTCACCCAGGCTGGAGTGCAGTGGCATGATCTTGGCTCACTGCAACCTCCGCCTCTAGGGTTCAAACAATTCTCCTGCCTCAGCCTCCTGAGTTGTTGGGATTACAAGTACCCACCACCACGCCCAGCTGATTTTTGTATTTTTAGTAGAGAAGGGGTTTCACCATGTTGGCCAGGCTAGTCTTGAACACCTGACCTCAGGTGGTCCGCCCACCTCAGCCTCCCAAAGTGCTGGGATTACAGGCATGAGCCACAGTGCCCAGCCTAGGTTTGATTTACCCTTGAGCATAGGTTCCTTTACCTGAAAGATCCTTTTCAGATATGCATATTTATTTACACAGAAGCCATTTGTTGAATGCTAAGAAATCCAAAGAAACAGGAGATGTCTTGTTCCACGAGACTTGTACAACAGGCCCCTACTTAACTGTGATAATTGATGGATGAGTGCTAACACAGTTCTAATGGAGTCAGAGGCAAGATAGGCCAGTTTTTTGACTGAGGTGTTTGGTGGAGGCATCATGGGGGTGACTACAGTTGAAGAGATCTTAAAGACTTTTCCGGTTTTGCCTAGACTGGGAAGAACATCATGGCAGGGTCAAGGACATGGAGGCAGCCAGGTGTAAAATAATCTGAGAACAGTAAGTTGACTTGTGTGACTGAAGTAGAAGAATCTTGCAAGGAAAGGTGAGAGAAAAGGCCAGAGAAGTGGTCATGGTGCAAGGCTTCTTTCCCAGGATCACCTCTCAGAGCTAGATGCTCTTTACCCCAATGGGTCACACTAGTATTTCAGCCTTCTGGGTGGGGATTGTTTCGGGGACATTTTAAGTTCAATCCAAATTAGGCACTTGGGGATTGGCCAGGAAAAATCTATAAATATCTGTCGTTTCTTCTTTCCCTTTGCCTCAGATGAAGAGGCTTTTTTCTTTTTTTCTTTTTTTTTTTTTGAGACTTAACTCTTCCATCTGTGTTCCTAGTTCTATCTTGGCTTTTAAAGAAGTACTTCTTTGTAAAACAGCTTCAGATACTTAGTAGTTCCTTTATTCTTAGTTTTTGAGGTAGCTCCCTACCTTCTCCAGTTATCAGATAATCAGAAGACTTCACTTTTCCCTCTGCTTTCCTTTGTCATGGTACAAAATAGATCCAGAGGGGATATGGTAGTCTGATTGAAAGGAAAAGTGTTTTGTTCTTTCCATTCTGACTTGAGTCAGAATTTACCATAGTTACTTGGTTTTATTTTATATGCACCCTTGTAGGCTGACTTAAATACCTCCTTTTAAAAAATAAGACAAAAATGTAACATACATTAATTCATTTATTGCTCACACCTTTTTTTTTAACCATTTGCCTTTATTTTTATCCCCATTTTGTAGGTGAGAAACTGAGGAACAGAAAGGTTTTAAAACTTGCGTAAGGCAGCCTAGCTCCAGAGTTCATGCTTTTAACCACGATGCTAGCTTAATAGAGTCACTAAGCTACTCATTTGTCCCTTCATTTCCTTTGATGTTTCCTGTATGAGACATCTCTGCTAGTATGTATTTAAGTAAAGGAGCATTCTCCACTCTTTAAACATATTTTTGTGATAACCCTTCCAAAGCAAATGTTCACAGTGTAATCTAAGGTAAACAGTTACATTGTACTTTCTTAAAAATTTCCAGAACATTAAAATATGTGTTCTAGTTAAGTAAAATTCTCAAAATACAAGCTCCAGATAATAGTCTCTGAATGAACAGAAGCAAGTTTATTGCTTTGAATATGAGTGAATGCCAAAATTAACCTGGCAGTAGTGTTGACAAATAGGCTTTTTCATGAAGAACTTCTTTCTTTTCCCCTTTGCTTTGTTTTTTTGGACAATTGATAAAAAGAGCAAGTTGTACCTCTGCATTTTTTGGAGCGCATGACTGTACAATGGTGTATATTTGCCTGGAGGGATGAGGGAAGTCTTCCATGGGAAGCTGAGTCATTTTTTGGCTTGTCTGACTGTGTGACTGTGCTAGAGCTATTCTTTTTTTGAAGAGAAAAATAAGAAGTCAAGTAATTTCCTAAAGTAATACATTTTTATTTTATGTGGGATTCATATTTTCCTTGGGTTGTGGTTATTTTGAGCAGGAGTTTTTGTGTCTGGCCAGGAGTATTCTTCTAATACAGAAACTACTTCAGACAAAATTATTTTCTCTCCTTGTTTAATAACTAAATTTGGTCAGCCATTGGAAGTCTTAGGGTTGTGATTGTGGTGGTAAACGAAGACATTATTAGTTATTCATCTCACCTTGGATGTATCATACCATTTTTGGCACTCTGGAGAAATTTAAGAAATGGCTGTTGCCTTTAAGGCAATTATTATTTGCTTAGAATCAGACCAACATGCAGTAGCAATGAACAACACAGGGCAGGACACCATAGAGTCAGCAAGGCAGAGTCTAAGCCCCATAGTGGTTCAAAGGAGAGCGTTTTAAGGAGGGTTAGAGTAGGCAGAGAGAGCTGAATTGGGAAAGTAGAATTAAAGGATGGACTTTGACTAAGGTGGATAGGCGAGAGAGGGAATTCCAGAAACCATGATTGTTCTGAGAGCCGGGGGCCTTGAAGTAGGAAGAACCATATTCTGATTGTGGAACCTTGATACACAATTAGGCTTTATCTTGAAGAACAATAGAAAATGAGATTGGTTAAGGGTCATGGAGTAGTCTGAAATCCAGACAAGGGAGATTAGACTGGATGAAGCTAAAGACTTTTGTACTGCCTTTCTGAATGACAGCCTAAGTCATATCACTTCTTTGTTCAAACATCTTCACTGGCTCCCTATTGCCCCTGAATAGAGTCTTAAACTCTTTAGCATAACACATACACTTTTTTCATTTTTAATTGACACATAGTTGTACGTATTTATGGAGTACAGTGTGATATTTTGGTACATGTATACAATGTGTAATGATCAAATTAGGATAATTAGCATATCTGTCACCTCAAACGTTAATTATTTCTTAATGATGAAAACATTCAAAATCCTCTCTTCCCGCTAGTTTGAAATATACAATATATTATTGCTAACTATAGTCACCCTTCGGTGTGATGGAATACTACATTTGTTCCTCTTATGACTCTTTACCCATTGACCAACCTCTCCCCATTCTCTTCTCCCCATCCTTGTCCCAGCCTCTAGTAACCACTGTTGTACTCTTTATTTCTGTGAAATCAACTTATTTAGATTCCACATTATCAGTGAGATCTTATGGTGGTTGTCTTTCTGTGCTTGGTTTATTTCATTTAACGTAGTGTCCTCTAGGCTCATCCATCTTGCCATAAATAACAGGATTTCATTATTTTTTACAGCTGAATAATATTCTGTTGTGTATATGTACCACATTTTCTTTATCCATTCATCTGTCGATGGACACTTAACTTGGTTCTGTACCTTGGCTATTGCAAACAGTATACTAAACATGAGAGTGAATACTGATTTCCTGTCCTTTGGATATATACCCAGTAGTGGGATTCCTAGATCATACGGTGGTTTTCTTCTTGCATCATCTGTTTGTATAACCTATGCTGTTAATGCTTTTCCTACCTGATGTCATAGCAGTCCCTTGCATGAATCTGATGCATGTAACCAGACATTGTGCTATTCCTCTGTCATACCTGGCATTCATTAACATCTTTACCTTCACTCACACTCTTCATATGCAACACCCACCTCCTCTCTTCCATTTTCTCTGTTTCCTTCCGTTTATTTTAAAACAGCATCTTTTCTTTCTTATCACTTCAGCCAGAGATCCTCTTCCTTTTGCTGAAATTCTGCTTTTCATCTGTACTACCTACCCAAGCTGTCTTGTGTTTGTGTTTCATACAGTTGCTCCTGCTGTATTTTCTTTGAGGACTCAAAAATGTTTTATGTATTTGTATATCTCTCATAACACCTTACAGGGCAACTCACCTAAAACAGACACTTAAATATTTGCTGAATGGGTAAAGAAATTTGGCTAATATTCATTAGTTTGCTACTAATTGACCGTGGCATGCTGATGACAACGAGATCCCATTACAGAATTATGGTCAGTAAATGTCAGCATTGTTTCCTTTTACCTCATTGCCTTTGTTTTTTATGGAATGAAGTTTGTTCTTATTTCCATAGATGATCATATGGAAAAGGAGTTTCTCACTTGTTGCCTCTTCCCTTCTTTTTCCATTTCCTTTCCAAAACACTTGTCCACCCTGCCTCTCTCCTTCAGCTATATGAAACCTTTGTTCATATTCCTGACCAAGACAGCAGTACGTGTATTCAAGTGTTCTATTTTGGTTTCTATGGCAGGATCTCTTTGACACAATCAAAAGTATACAAAAGGATAGTCGTGATGCATGGAACTCACTTCTTGGTAATGGTCCCTTTTTCTCTGTCAGTGTTTTGTTTTCTTCTTAAAGTTCTTAACAATCTAAATTATTTATTGTCAGGTTAGTAATCTTATAGCAACCATTATATAAGGATTCACTTAAGGCATTTTCTCTAAAGGAAAAAAATGTCTTAAGAGAAAACTCTGAAGAGTTAGTATACAGATAGAGCTTAAGGGCCGGGCGTGGTGGCTCAGGCCTGTAATCCCAGCACTTCGGGAGGCCGAGGTGGGTGGATCACCTGAGGTCAGGAGATCAAGACCAGCCTGGCTAACATGGTGAAACTCCCCCGTCTCTACTAAAAATAAAAAAATTAGCCGGGCGTGGTGGCAGGCGCTTGTAATCCCAGCTACTTGGGAGGCTGAGGCAGGAGAATCACTAGAACCCGGGAGGCAGAGGTTGCAGTGAGTCGACATCGCGCCACTGCGCTCCAGCCTGGGCAACAAGAGCGAAACTCCACCCCCCCACTCCCCTCCCCCAAAAAACCTTAAGTTTTCCCCTGTGAAATAGTAGAATATTTAAATCCAGTTTTCATCAGTCTACAACTACGCCAGAACTACCCTCACCAAGATCTATGAAATATTTGCCTAGCAAAATCCGGATCTTGTATTTGCATGACGTTTTTACAGCATTTCGCACTGTTTACTATCCTTTCTTTGAAATACTTTCTCCATTTAGTTTCCTTGATGCCACTTCTGTGTGTTAATTCCCAAATCTGAATGCCCAACCTCAGCCATTCCCCTGAGTTCCAGTCACACACTTTCAACTGCCTACCATGGCTCTGCTCAGATATCTCTGAGATACCATGTCTCAGATTCACTGTGTCTAAAAGTGAATTCATCATCTGATCTCTCCCCTGCCACCTACTTCTGCTGCATTCCGCCCTTTACCTAGTTGTTCAGGACAGAAACCTAGTCCATCGTCACACTTCTTTTACTTCTGCTCCCACCCCAATGCCCAATATCCTGTTAATGTTAAATATTTTTGGACTCTCGGTTTCTTTTCTTGAGCTCTGCTTTCAGCAGCTGAGTTCACACTGCCATCATTTCTCACCTGACTTCTCTAACAGCTTTCTGACTCATCTGTCTCTAAGCTTGCTCCCTTCTGTCTTTTGAGCGTATTCCAGAAAAATATATTTTTGAAATACAGATGCGATCCTGCCTTTCCCTTGCTAACAACTCTTCGATTGCTTTTCCTATTGTAGCGACAATACACTTGTGAACACAAGTAACATGTTCAGCTGGGGCTGGCCTCATCCTTTGTCTCTGTGCTCTTTCTTCCCTCTGGGCCTTATGCAGTCTTCTGCCTGAACGTAGACACAGGTCAGTCTCTCTAGCTTTCCTTGCCTGCCTCCCTACAGCACCATCCACACATATACACCCTTTGCCTGGTTAATTCCTATTAAGTCTTCCATCAAGTCTCAGATTAGTAATATACTGTAAGGGCCAGTCTCAAACATGATTGTAATTATTTAATATCCATTTTGTTCACTGCCGTATCCTCGATGCCAAGCGTACATGTTTAATAAATAGTTGCCTAATGATTAAACTTTACTGAAAAGCTTATTGAAGATTTAGGGCAGTGACATGGAGTTGTACTATACAGTCCCAATAATGTCACAGATTTTCCATGTGAAATTTCCTGGTTGTTGTTGAAATTGTTAGTTACTCTATTTGCCATGTTTAGTGTTCTTGGCCCTCAGGTTTTAAAAGTTCTAATGTATCTTAAAAACATGTTAGGAAAATTTGACAATACATGAAACATTTATTATGCTTTGAATAGGTGCAGTTTATTATGTGTAAATTATACTTTAGTAAACCTGTTTAAAAATTACCTCATAATAAATACTTTTCAAGATCTAGATTACCATCTGAAATAGATTTTTTTTACTGGTGGTTTTGTCTGAATCACATACGCATTTTGCACTTGTATATATACCAACTATTTGGGTGGGAAAAATAGCATAAGGTTGTGAATTCATTTGAATTGACTATTTGATGGTATAGTTATCATGTTTAAGTAGATCAAGCGTGGTGGCTCACACCTGTAAATCCCAGCAGTTTGGGAGGCCGAGGCGGGTGGATCATTTGAGGTCAGGAGTTCAAGACCAGCCAGGTCAACATGGTGAAACACCGTCTCTACTAAAAATACAAGAATTAGCTGGGTAGTAGTGACACGTGCCTATAATCCCCAGATACTCAGGAGGCTGAGGCAGGAGAATCACTTGAGCCTGGGAGGCGAAGGTTGTGGTGAGCCAAGATTGTACCACTGCACTCCAGTCTGGGCAACAGAGTGAGACCCTGTCTCACAAAAAAAAAAGAAAAAAAGAAAGAAAAAGTAAATGTGGAGAGAACATATTCTTCTTACCTTAATGCCTTAAAAGGGATGCTATTATTTATAGTAATTTTACTCAAAAATTTGCACTTACGGGCTTCATGAAATTGGTAAGATTTCTACATGTGAGAAGAAGTTCTTGTGTCATTGTACTATTATGAAGTAGCTTTTGTTTTTGTTTTTGTCAGTGCTGGACTGTCTTATGTTCTTGTGGTCATGCTAAAAAGAAATGTTGTTAGAAGATTCAAAACTATGAGTAAATATGGCTTATAGTTTTATCAAATACAACAGTCTTTAGGATCTGGTTTTAAATAGACAACATAAATGGTTATCAAACAGTACACTGCATGAGTAGTGTCTCATTTCCCTTTTGGATAGCATTATTTGATAGGTTGAATAGGAGAATGCCATACATTTAGTATGTATTAATTTCAGGAAGAAGTTTTATTAATTATTCTGTATTGTATAGAAGATGGAGGTATGGGACTCAGAATTCAGTTGGCTTTGTAGCTGATAGACCAGCATTTTACTTAATCTTAGGAGTGCTGGGGCCGGGTGCGGTGGCTCACGCCTGTAATCCCAGCACTTTGGGAGTCCAAGGCGGGTGGATCACGAGGTCAGGAGATCGAGACCATCCTGGCTAACACGGTGAAACCCCGTCTCTACTAAAAATGTAGAAAATTAGCTGGGCGTGGTGGCGGGCGCCTGTAGTCCCAGCTACTCAGGAGGCTGAGGCAGGAGAATGGCATGAACCCCGGAGGCGGAGCTTGCAGTGAGCCGAGATCTCACCACTGCACTCCAGCCTGGGCAACAGAGCCAGACTCCGTCTAAAAAAAAAAAAATATATATATATATATATATATTAGGAGTGCTGATTGATGGACAGATGTCCTACCAGGGGAGGCTTTTAGTGATTTAATTCTGGGTTCCATCATTAGCCTTGCTCTTCAGATTTATGAATGATACAGAGTTTGGAGAAACAGCTGTTACTTCAGTGATGGAATTTAGGTTCACTATACTCTCTTAAGGCTAAAATGATAACTTTAAAACAAATGAGAATTTATTTGAGAGAATATATCTATACAGAAAGCTATAAAGTAGGTTTTAAAACAAAATCACAAGATTATAGTTTAAAGGAGACCTGATACTGTAAGTCACACTGAAAGAAAATATATGGGAAGTAAGTTTATTTCACAATAAACTTATTCTTCTAGCGGTGTAATATGTGTGTCAAGAAAACCAATTTGATCTTAGTTATCCCAGTGTGCACCATGTCAGAGGATTTTGTTTGGGGCATCCACATCACAAGAAGTACACTAACTAGAGAGCACTCAGGTATTCTGTTGTCTGAGGAGCCGTTGTGGGAATCATGATTCGAAAGAGAAGCCTGAAGAGGGTGGTGAAGCACGACGGCCATCTTTAAATATCTGAAATGCTGCCAAAAGAAATAATGAATGTTTGCTCCAAAGAGAAAAGCCAGATCAGTGTATCTGTTCATTTTCAGGAAGACTTGGGTAGCAATATCCAGAGATCTTTTAGTCTGTATGTTTGGTTTGTTCATTCTATTTTTGTAAGATATTACTATAGAGAGAAACTTTTAAAAAGTGGAATGTCAAATATTGAAATGTTGGCAGAGAAGTTGAGTCCGTTTAATGTAAAATTAAGAATCACTTGGCATTTTTATTTTTTAAAAAACATCTTTTTCTGTCCTTTAGCATTTATGTAAAATCAAATGTAGGGATATTGATTATGAGTAATGAATCCCAAGTTTTCTTTCCTCAAATACTAACTTTTCTCTGTTATAGTTTCATTTCTTGGGGGATTTATCAAGTGGCAAAATTAGATGTAGTGGAAAGACTGATTTACACAACTGAGTTTAAAGCAAATCTGTTTTATTAGCTGTGTGATGTTATATAACTGACTTAAATTCTAAGTGCTACTTTTCCTCATCTGTAAAATAGACAGTAAAATTTCACCTTACAGGTTTTTATGAGGAATCAATGAAATTGTACCTGTGGAAGCACCTGGCAAACAGGAGGTATTCAGTAAATGTTGTGGTTAATAAATCTTGCTCCAGAAGACTTGTCCTCAAGATTAAACTATCCTGTCACTTTTTCCCAACTGAAATTTTGATTCTGCCATCTCCCTTTCTTCCTTCCTCCCTCCTTTTATTTCACAAAGCTGTTGGTAATTTTAGTAGAATTTAACATTTGTGTGTATGATCCATGAGACCTTGTTCCTGTAAAGAGCACAAGTTTACGAAGATACTTTTTTCTTATATTGTTCCATATTAGTTTGTTGTTATTTTAATTGTTGCTATTATTGTCAGTTAGCTGCTGCCAGTTAAATTGTCTTAAGTTTTCTTCTTGCAAAGATAGTAAAGGGTTAAGGAAAGGAGCTGTTGGCTACTGCTTGCTACTAATTTGAAAAGAAATGGTGGTTATAGCCTTCTAGGTCTCTCCTTCTCCTTTACCCTTTTACTGTCTTGTAATCTTCAAATCTGTATGTTAGTGAATGCTAGGAGGGAACAGTAGACCTGCTTCTCCTGGAGCCATAGTACAAGGAAAGCCTAATTGGAGACGATCCTTTGCAGCCATTGTAAAGTATTTTCTTCTTTCACCTCTCAAATATTCATTTGTCTTATTTGAAGCAGTCTATTATCTAAGCAGACAGGAGTTGCTCAAGTGGAGGCTAAATGTTTTATCTGTATTCTAATACATTTTACCACCAACATATGTGTAACTCTGGATGGATCACTATATTTAAGTTTAGATTAATGAAAATTGTTGACTGTGGTAAACTTTTCCTTCCTTCCCATTTCATGTGAAGAACAAAGGTAGAAAGTGTCATTATGCAGGAATAATGTTTTCTGCAAGTTTTAAGAGAATGTCTCAATTCCTTTTTCTTTCTCCTCTGAAACTACCGTATCCCATGAACTATATGGCATGTGATAACTTCCTAGTCTCAGACTGGCAGTATATAATATTAGAGCAAGAAGGATCTTCAGATATGACCTAGCGTTGAATCTCTAATTTTTCCATTCTGGAAATCTTGGTCCAGAGGGTCAAACTAGTATCTCCCAAGTTGCTCAGTGAGATAATGGCACACCTAGGAAGACAAAGAACCCTTGATTTTCACTTAGTACCTTGTGTTCTCTGCAGAGAGTAAAATTGATCATTGATGAGTCATTAACCAGTGTCCATTCACATGCTGCTACTTTATGTTCACTTTGGGGTTTCAGGAAAAAATACATAGTAGCAGAAGATGAGCCCTACCCCTATCCCCACACCCCCACAAAAATATTCACTGGCCTTTGGTGTTCTGTTTGGGTCTTCAGCATCCCCCACTAGGTGGTGTCCTAATTCAGAAACTTTGCTGTGAGACTCCAGATGGGCTTCTGCCCTAACTGGAACTAAAGCAGCCACAGTGTTGACCCATAAGAATGCTTAAACAATTTGGTAAGGTGCTAGATCTTGTAGTTAAGTAAATCAAATGAAAATTTAATTCATGAACACAAATGCTATAGCTAAATTAAGATGTATAAAATATTTTTATATTTCATTTTCTGGAATCTTTAATAATTGCATGTTGGCCCTGTGGCATGAGACAGATTAAAAGCACTGGTTGTTTTTAAAGAATCTGGGACCATTTGTGTGGATAGAGGGCAGGATGGAGGCTGCAGAAAGAAAGGAAAGACAATTAATACTGTAAGTAACTACTGTTAAGTAGTATGGCTGTAAATAATAAAATATTTTACTACAGGTTCCCCAAATTAAAAGAAAAGGGAAATAAACTCAGAACCTCCTTTAAATTTGTAACTCTCAGCTCTGGTTTAGATATGAAATGATTGGTTGCTGTATTTCAAAATCCTGGCAGAATTACTGTTCAATGGTTCCAGATGTTTTTGATAAAAACTTGGAATTGTCACATCAACTGCAAAAGCACAAGACTGCAGATTCTGTCTTCTGTTGGGGAGTGCTGAGCAGATCCAGAGGGGAAAGCAACACAGACTCTTTTTTCCACCCAGAGCATTTGTTTCCCACCCAGGGTATTTGTCCTCCAACAAGGAACAGAATATGTAAGGAATTGTCCTTTAATATGCAGAAAGAGCAGGAAATCTAGCTTTCCAGCCTGTGGCACAAAGCCAGAAGTTAGAAATAAAAAGGTTAGTCTTTATGTCTCAAACAGTAATCTAGGCTCTTTCAGAAAATTATATTATTTTGAAACAAGTTTCTCTCTCCTAAAAACTTCCTGAAGACAGACACCTTGTTACCTATTTATTTTGCTTGCCTCCACTAGAAGTCACAAAATATCTGTTACATTGTTATAAATTATCTGCATGTAAGTCACTGGACAGGGATAGGGTAGAAAAGCTTTTTTGTTGTTGTTGTTGTTTTTGTTTTTTGTTTTTTGAGGCGGAGTCTTGCTCTGTTGCCAGGCTCGAGTGCAGTGGCGCGATCTTGGCTCACTGCAACCTCCGCCTCCGAGGTTCAAACGATTCTCCTGCCTCAGCCTCCTGAATAGTTGGGACTACAGGCATGTGCCAACATGCCTGGCTAATTTTTGTATTTTTAGTAGAGATGGGGGTTTCGCCATGTTGGCCACGATCTGGATCTCTTGACCTCATGATCTGCTTGCCTTGGCCTCCCAAAGTGTTGGGATTACAGGCGTGAGCCACCGCGCCCAGCCGGTAGGAGGGTTTTAATGGTGATTAAACCATCTCTGATCCCTAGAGAGACAGATGCCTGGGAACCTTGGAAGCAGGAATCATTTGATTCTAATTAAAACAGAAGGGAGTGGCAGTGAGGAACAAACCATATTGAGGACAGAGGGGAGGCAGCTCTGTGTTCAAAAAAAGAAGAAGGGCGAGTTCTACATTCTAGCTTGGTGAAAGCTTTTACAGAAAAGATAATAAAGTATCAGTTTATCTATACATTCAAGCCTAAAGGCTCTTTCTGTCTGTGCCCTAGACCACATAGTTTGGAAGTATTTGTAAATCTCTGGTCAAGTTCCCATGCTTTTGATAAGCCTGAGCAAGAATTTTATTTACAACTTTTAAATCTCTGTCAAATCGTCTTGTTTCTACTGTTTTGTAGCCTCATTTGTAATGAAAAGCAACATCTGTTTCACTGCACATGTTGGTACCACTACAGAGCCAAGGCTCACTTGGGGCACGAGAAGGGGAGGGGTTGTCCGCCTTCATTCCTCGGATGAACCAGTGAGGAATAGGGAGATAAAACCTTATGGCTTTTATTTCAGAATAAAGCCTGTATGTAGCTGGGGTGTATTAATAGAAAGTTGAGGAAGACGTTTACAGTCTTCTTAGCAGGGTTTGCTGTATTTCCCTCCTTTAAGCTGGTCAGCAACTTGAATATCTGGCCTGAGGACACAGCAACTCATCTATACCCTTTTTCTATATCCGTTTTTTAGCTCCTGAAAAACCTTTTCACCAACTTTGTTTGCAATGTCAACAGAAATGTAGGTGTTAAATCTCTCCTCTCCCCTTCTGTTGTGGTATTTGAGCCACTGCTTTCACAGCCTAGCTAAGGACTACTCTGGACAACTCAAGGAAAATGTCAGCAGCTCCTAGAAAGAGAAATCCTTTTTTTTTTTTAATCCCTTTTTCTTTTGTTTCTTCACTCCTTTCTGCTTTTTGCTTCCCTCAGTTCCTCATCCTTTTCCCTCCCAAATCATTCATGATCCAAGTAAGAGAATGTCTCAGGTGAGAGAATGCATTCTGAAGTAAGTCTGTCCCTGAGAATGTTAGATAGAGTGGGGGGCTAGAAGGGTCTGGAATAGTAAGAAAACAGGCAAATGAAGTAGCAGACCCACAATTCAAGACCCAGTTAGTGTGCATAGAAACACTGAAGAAGTCCCAGCCAGGCAGCTATACTTAGTCGCAACAAATATTAACATACACAGAACTCCTTTGTTCCACTCCTTTTCTTTTTCATTTTCTTTAAATCAACTCCATCATCCCTTCTCCCTCCCCAAAAATAAAGCTTAACTCTTGATAATTTTTAAACTTTATCAGACACATTTATAGCCACGTCTCGATCCTAGAGACATAACTGCAATATTTGGCTGACATTTTTCTCGTGTTAAATCATTGCTTTGCATTTGGCAGGGAGGTATAGTGTATGCTTTGGGTAGTTTCAATTTTCTGTACCTCACGACAAGTCCATTGTACACGCTTGTGGTGTTTAGTATAACACCCCCCTTCCTTTATTAGCATACTACTCTGACATCAAAGAACTGAGCTGCATCTTGCAATGCCTGACAGAGCCTTTTTCATAGGGGTGGGAGGAGGAGGAGGAGGAAGAAGAAGCGGGTTGGAAAAGGAAGCCTTGTTTTTCTCTTCGTCTCGGTAGATGAATCATGTTCCCACAACTGCAATTGGGTTTTCAAACCTCCAAGGCTGCGGGTGCGGAGCTGAAAGGGCAAGCAGTGACGTTCTTGAGAGAGAAGGAAAAAGGGAGGAGGAGGCTGGCTAGGGAGGGAAGGAGGGAGGGAGGGAGTACAGCAGGAGTGGTCTTTTATTTTTTTCCCTTTTACTCTGCTGTCCTTAGAGATTTTCAACTTAAATCAAAACCAAGCCCTACTGCCTGGTGAGCAAGAGAGATTCCAAAGACTTTACTTTGAAAAGCATCTCCCAGCTTCTACTTTTTTTTAAGGAAAAGTAGATTTTCTTTGTCTTTGTTTTTGTTTTAAGCAAGAACAGAATCTAATGACTTTTTTCATGCCATCGCTTTGAAATAGCGTCGTCTTCCTTTCTTTCTCTCCCTCTTCCTGGCAAAGTATATACTGGATTTTTATTGCCTTCTTGGGTTTTTTTCCCTACGTGTATCGGCCGTTATGCTTAGCCAGTTTATTCTTTATTTTTTTACTGGAGTCATTGCCAGTGATGGAAACGGTGTTTGCTTCTCTTTCAGTCAAGATCTGCACAAAGTATAGCATTAGGTGGTATTTATTGTTTATATTATGAGTTCTACATTCATCTTTCCAGCACTCTGAAGTTATCAGCAAGTTCTCAGTCAGTTCAAGGCATTGGATTCTGCTTGATTTCTTTTTAATTCATTGTTTTTGACCCCTTTGAGAGTTTTAATAGAGAGGAGTCTGGAAGGCAGAGATCTCCACCACCTAACCGTGAGAAATTTGGAACTAAGGACTTGCACTGGTCCCCAAGTTAACAGTGGATATACTTCCTGCATTTTCTCTGTTCTTTCTTGCATTTGGGCAAAATGTATGAACGGCACAAGAGGCGCTACAGCCTCTGTGACATCTCCAAGGTGGACAGGACTGTGGACGTGGTATTGCTGAAGGTAAGGGGGGCTGCACCTCATGCATTCTGAAGCTCTGCAGGCTGTTTTAGCGCTTTGAACCCGGTAGCCATGTCCCTGGCCCTCCTGTATTGGGAGAAAGGCCGAGAAATCTGTGCACAGTGGAGGATGAGGGGTGAATGTAAGCCTCTTAAAGGAATATCTGAACAGGAAGCAATAGGTGCTTGGTAATCAGCATTGGACCACTTACTGTTGAAATGTAATTTTACTTTCATTAAAATGGATTCTTATGCTTGGGAGAACCTCATACTGTTGAAAATCACAGAGAGAGAAATTCACCTTCCAAGTTGCTCTGTTTGTCCTTCTGTCTCTGTCACCCCTCCGCCCCCAGACTCCACCCCCATCTGCCTGGTCTCTTTCTCTGTCAGTCTCTCTGCCTCTGTCTTTTAAGTATTTCTGTCTTTTGTCTGAGTCTTTTCTGTTTTTCTGCTACTGTCTCGTTCAATTCTTTAGGGGAAGGATAGGCAACATTTATTTCTTTTGGAAGGATTTCCAATAAACCTATCTATTAAGGTGGCAGAGCTGACCTTTTGGCTTGGTTTGACTGCTTTTCAGAGGTAGCTTCTGACTTTGTTGATAGCTGTATTTGTTTGTGTTCTCCGCATTAGTGATGTTTGGTGTCTAAGCAGGATGAGGGCGGAGACTCTGAATAGCTAATTGCTCACAGAAGGCATCCTTGAATCTAAAATTAGTAAGAACTCCTCCAGCCGGTAAGATGAGAGTCTGGGAATGTTGGACAGCTCAAAGAGCACTTTTTGGAAATTTAGCAATTTTCTGGCAAAGGCAGGGGAAATTGGAAGTCAACCAAGCATTTCATAGATGACAGAAAGAACCTCAGTAACTGAACTTGTGAGGGTGTATGTGGAGGTGAGGGTCATTTTAAGCAAAGTGGAAATATATTGCCTTGGTCAAGGAAATAGTGGACCTATTTTATTGATTTATCAATTCAGTTTATTACTTGGGTCTTTTCGATTTTTTTCTTTGGTCAAGTGAGGCTAAGGAATGGGCTCAGAAGGCTAGACACAAAAACCAATGAAATGCCATGTTGGGCAGGGCACTAGGTAGAGGCGTTGTGATTTGTGGTAGAGTGTTGTCATTGTCTCTCCATAATCACTGTCAGGTGGTTGACTTGCTGGGCCTCGGCTGCCAGCAGTTGGTAACTTGGTGTTTTGAAATTGTTCCAAGATATTATTCATTTTGGTTTCTCAGAAATGTGATTTTCTCTGTGAGATCACGGTGATGTTTTAAAATTTTTGTCCTCATATAATGTATTTAGGAGAATCTCATTTTTAGGATCTTTATGTCCATGATACCCTATGATTTTGCCTGCGGGTGGGGAGAAGGATAAAAAGAAAATCTGAGTATCACAAGAAATATTGAACATTTAAAATAATGCTAAAATATATAATACTTTATACTCTAGGTGGGCATGGAAAGCCCTTGTGAATGGAGCTAAATCAGTACAGGCTTATTGGCCTCAGAGTTGCTGTTTTATAGTTTTAATGAAGCACTTCCATATACGTTACTTAATTTGAGACTTGCCAGGCAGTTACTTTTTACCCCATATTCATATGAAGAGCCCGAGGGTTTTCTCGAGCATGGTAAGGGGTATGAAGAATTTGAGTGACAAGAATGTGGTTTTTTGTTTTTTTGTTTTCCCCACAAACCTACAGCTAATAAAGGTGTTTGTCTTTGTGTATTTGTACTATCCTGCCCAATAAATAATAAAAGATTTTCAGTGGAGAAAACTTCACTTCTCAGAAAATAGTCATTAGTAAATAAACACTAGGAGTCCTGAAAACACCCTGTTTCCAGTTTGAAATAAGATGGGGACGTTTGGTGTTAGTTTCTTTGCTTTGGAGATGGAGAAGACCACATCTTTGAGAACTATAAACTCAAAGAAACCTAAGTACCTATCCCATGCGAGCCACGGGTTACAGTCTTTATCCCATTATTGCTTAAAGGTAGACAATAAATAGAGAAATAAATAAGTACAAACTGTTATAATTGATTTGAAAGAAATGAGTAGGGTGCTGTGTAGGGAATAATGGGCAGAACTATTTCAGATAGAATGGTCTTTAGACAGAAGATCTTTTCGAGGTGCAGACATTTAAAAAGCTGATCTCCAGAGGATGGAAAGACACTAGCTATGCTAAGGAAGAGCTCTCTAGAAAGAATGAACAGTGAATACAGGGCCCTGAGGAAGGAAGGAATGGACAGGGCCATTGTGGTGGATGGGAGCACCTTGAGTGGAAAGTGGGGTAGCAGGATGAGAAGGCCGGAGCCAGAGGTGGGACCTGGAAGAGCAGGGCCTTAACAGCTATGGGGAGGATGCCTTACCTCTCAGTGTACGTGTTGAAAAGATTATTCTGGTAGTAATCGGTTAGCCTGCCGTTATGATAGCACAGGCAGGATAAGAGGATTTTGTGGTCTGAAGTGGGAAGAAGTGAATGGATATGAGACACAGGCATATAGTGTTTACATTCCTACTCTTTGTCTCATTTTACGTACAGGAAAACAGATTGGTGTAGTTAATAACTTTCCCAGTGTCTCACATCTCATATGTAATTGATAATAGAGTGCAGTCCCAGGTTGGACTGTTTTCAAAGTCCATGTTTTTCCTGCTATTCTAGACCTCTTTTTTGAGTCGATAAATTCCTCTTATTACATGAATATGTATATTAGCTTTTATTGATATAAGCGTATGTGTTCTTTTTCTATCTTAGACTTTTGTTCTCTTCTTTCTCAGTGCAGGAATTCCTTCTACAATACTTAGGATAGGTACACCATGTCATATAAGTTCATTTTGTCCCATGATTTTTAGCAAAGTTTTCTCACAATTCTAAAAAACCATTTGGTAGTGTTCTCCAATTATTTCTACAAAATTATTTCTAATTTCAGTATTTTCTATCAGTGTTTTAAAAACTATAGTTGGGTGCCTGTGCCACATAAATTCTCAAGCCGTCATGTGCACTTTCTCCACTTTTATCTGTGGAAATTTGCTTTTTTGTACTAAGGAGTTTGTCATTTTTATCTGTTCATTAATATTATCTAAACACTCAAAACAACGTTTGTTGGTTAAATGAATTTATCTTTGTAAGTATGGATTCATAAGCATCATGTTATATAAATTGTGTTTAACAGATGAGGTGAAATATGGCAGTAATTACAGAGTTTAAATTGTGAGCCTGTCACTTTGGTATTCCACATTTAACAACTCCAATCCCTCCCATTGACATCCTAATAATTCACTGTAGATTAGCTTCAGCATTCTCATTCTGTGTTATATACCCACGCTTTATTTGGCTGCTTCTGCATTCTGCCCTGCTTCCTTTGTTAGTTCTGCATAGTTTCACGGTAGCTTTTCTGTATCAAGACCTTCTTGTAAGATTTCCCTGAGGCTGGGTACGCTAGTGTCATCCTCACATCAGCTCTTCTGTCCCATCATCAACCCCCAATGCCTCTGAAATATTACCTCTATTCTGAACTTTTTCTAAGTAATAAAACCTAAGTTGATAGTATTCCTTGGTCACCCACCTGTCTGTTCTCCAGCGTAACATACACATACCCATTCCTGTTCCTCTGTATATGACATTCCCCCAGTTCTCCTTTTCTTGATGCATGCACTTCTGACTCTTACAGTATGTGGTTGGTAACTATGAATCATATGCTAAAAATGGGATATGAAAGAATTGTAATTGTTGGCATGGGCCCTTTGGTACCAATATGCCCATTTTCCTCAGCATCCTTCAAAAAGCTAGTGTTGACCTCGGAAGTTGGTAACTGATGGGAGCTTTCACCTAACTGAGTTCAGTAGCCAACTTTAGCTCATGGTGAGCATTACTAGAGGACAGCAGGTATCAGAAACTGACTGTAAAATTAGTGTACCAAAAGGAAGCAGGTCAGAATCAAGGATTAACTGCTGATTTGCACTGCTTTTAGCCTGGGCCATTGCTGTTTTACTAATTTTATAACTTTGGGTACCTGGAAAAATACTGCCTGTTAATAGTAATGTGATTCTTCTTGTTACTGATGATTTATAGAGAGTATTTTATAGGCAGTAATTCAGAACATTAATTAGCTGAATGGTTAAAAGATTTGCAACTGTGTTTTGTTTACATTGAATGAAAATATTTACAGAGCAGGACGATTCCCCCCCGACTCACGACACTTGGGCAGGCCACACGAGCTCATTGGCTAAGGCTGAGGAGGAATAGTCTGTCTCTAATTATGGTGTCATTTTGCAGAGAAACACACATTCCCTAAAAGTTTGCTTACTGTAAGAGATGTCCGCATTGCAACAAAACAAAAGACATAAGGAGGCTCTGGATTGAAGACAACCACATATATAGCCACTCAGATACTGTCCAATTCCCTGAAAAGACTTTGACTCAAGTGTTGGCTTCTATGTCCGGATGGTGGGTTTTTGCTTCCTTTTGTTCAGCCTTGTAGCTCAGGCAGGATCTCCTGAGACAGTTGCAGAGGAAGTAAATATGGTTAGTGGCTGGGAAGGCTGGGTGTAACCATGAGCTGTATTATTAGGATGTTCAGATACGAACAGTAACAGAAACACTGCCAGAAACAAAGACAATTCCCTCTCCACTGAAAATATGTACAGCTCTATTTCTGACTGATGGGAACACATTGTGGGTGTGGTTTAGGGATAATCACAAGGGGTCCATAGGCTTCATGTCAGAAATTTCAGAGTAACCTGGATAGGTCTGGCATTTCTTCTGAGGTAACTTCCATTATCCCATATTTCATGTGCACCATAATTCACCAGAAGTTTGGATGTTGAATACCTGCGGTGTCCATGAACTGGTTGTCATGGAGATAATATGGACAAAGGAAAACCAATGACTATGTTTTGTAGCTAAAGTGTCATAAATGTGATTAGAGCCAAAATGTATGTTTTGGTGACTTGTCTCTCTAAAAGATGTAGATGTTTAATGGTAAAATCTCTGTTTTCCACATTTCCAGCTACTTGCTTCTCTACATCACCCATTCACTTTCCTACCCATTTAGTCAGTTGCCAGTCCTATACTTTGTTCACAGCTGAAGATTCCAAAAGGGTAAATCTGAATAGAAAGATACATAATCATCTTCATTTTTCTCTTTAAACTCAAATTATTTGCATTGCCAACACTGATGATTTTTTCCTATCCCGTCTCCTAATTCTGCTGATGATCAGAATCTTTTGCCAAGCCTAGTCTCAGAACTGACTGAGAAGAGTGTTGATAGTATAAGGATCCAATTTATCTGTTAGCGTGAAAACCTCAGTCTTTGAATCACGTTTGGAAAAGAGACTAACATGAGAACAGGATCCCTTTAATGAAAAAAATGTCTGGTGGCTTTTGATTTCCTGCAGTGTATGTTTCAGATGTGGCCAGGCACAGTGGCTCACATCACGCCTGTAACCCCAGCACTTTGGGAGATTGAGACAAGAGGATCACTTGAGGCCAGGAGTTCAAGACCAGCCTGAGCATCCTAGCAAGACCCCCATCGCTTAAAAAACGAAGTTTCAGATGTCTTTCCATGTATGTACTCAGGGCCTGGCATTGTATCTGGCCTGTAGGAAGCACTCTGACAGTGTTTCAAATGGAGCCACATAGTGTGGCGTTTAAGTTGCCTTGGTTGTTTGAGTGAGAAAGAAATAGTGGAGTTGTTGATGAATAGAACCAAGACTAGAACAAATGTATCTGCCACATCAATGATTCTGAAATAGGGCAGAAGGAGGGGGGAGATGTTTTGTAATCAACTTTACATCTCTTAAGCAGCTTACTTTATAGTAAGCACAATATTCTTCACACATGAATATGATACGCTTGGTGGTATTGCTGTTTCACAGGATGTGGTTGAAAATGCTGATACATGTTTTGACATTCTTTCCACACACAGTACATATGGAGCTTGTCCTCTGGTTAATGACATTGACCATGATTGGTAGTGTCTGGCCCAGATTACTGGCTCTGACTCTAACTGTGTGGGCTGCCTGACTACTTTTCTCTAAACAAGCTTGCATATCTCTAACTGCTGCTCATTCATTTCTTAATTGTGATAAAAGGTACATACCATAAATTTTAACCATTTTTAGGTATATAGTTCAGTGGCATTAAGTACATTCACATTGTTATATAACCATCCCACCAGCTGTCTCTCCAGAACTTTTTCATATTCCCAAACTGGAATTCTTTACCTGTTAAAACACTAACTTCCCATTCTCTTTGCTTGCTAGTTTGGCAACTACCGTTCTATTTTCTGTCTCTATGAATTTGACTGCTCTAGGTACTAAGTGGAGTCATACAACATTTGTCCTTTTGTGACTGTCTTATTTCACTTAGCATAATATCTTCAAGGTTCATCCATATTATAGCATGTGTCAGAATTTCCTTTCTAAGGCAAACTAATATTCAATTGTAAGTATATACCATATTTTGTTTACCCATTCATCCATCAATTGACATTGGGCTGTTGCCCCCATTTGGCTGTTGCAAATAATGCTGTTATGAGCATTGGTATACAAATATCTGTTTGAGTTCCTGCTTGCAGTTCTTTGCATGTATACCCAGAAGTGGAATTGCTGGATCATAAGGTAATTGTATGTTTAATTTTTTTTTTTTTGAGAAACTGTCATACTGTTTTCCGCAGTGCCTGCACCATTTTACATTCCCACCAGCAATGAACAAGAATTCCAATTTCAACACATCCTCGCCAACACTTATTTTCTATCTTTTTTTGTTTAAATGATGGCTGTCCTGTTGGATATGAAGTGTTATTTCATTGTGGTTTTGATTTGCATTTCCCTAATGCACACTTACTTTTGTCCTGTTTGTGTTTGTAAGAAGCCAGCAAGTATGAGCTTTCCAAACCACCCCATCTGCGAATAGGTATTATTTACTATGAATGCCACCTTTAGTGTGTCTTTTCTTTTTGCAAGCTCTGCCTTTGCTCTCCTGCTTGCTCTTTTCGTCTGTTATCTCAAGAACAAATGAAGCTAGCGCCAGCCTTTCTCTCAAGCTTCCGAAACCTTGTGTAACCATTTGCAGGACATATTGTTATTTCAAACTCAACATGGGCAAATGGAGTACATCATCTTCTTCCCTCTAGATTTCCTATTTCTGTTCATTGTGGATCTTTGACCTGTTTTTCTCTCTTACTTCTGTGAATTTTGCCCTTTGTACTAGCTCTCTGATGTATACCTTTTATGTGCTTCCCAGTCCAGGTATACACTACCTCTAGACTAGACTAGTTCAGGCTCATCCTAATTGGCTTTTGTGTCTCAGATACTGTGTGTTTCCTTCCTCCCTACTCTCCCATTGTATCTGTACACATCTAGAGTTATTGGCCAAGTATAGTACTGATCTTTTTACTACCTTTCTTATATGATTGACAGGGTCCACCCTTGTTAGAGAACAAAGCCTAGATTCATTGTAGCTGTATCTCCTGTTGTTCTTCCTTGCTCAGTTTACATTTCTGGATACTGTTGGGCTTTTTGTGTTCCTGAAAAACATCAAAAGCAAAGGTCTTTAGCCTGGGTTATGAGGTTATGCAAAGAACCGCCGATTGTGACGTAGTGTGCACGTTCCTGGTGAGGGTTCCATGGCTTCCTGCAGATTCTTGAAGGAGTCTGTGACGTGAAAGGCTATGAAGTCCAGCTCTGGAGTGTCCTAACTGCTTTGCTCATGCTTTTTTCGTATAGCTAGAATTCCCTGCCTTACCATCTTTCTCTTGCAAGCATATTGTCCGCTTTTAAAGCCTACCTCATATACCAACGCTTTTGTTGAGCTTTTCCCAGATTCTTGAGCAGGAATTATTTTCATGCTGGGGACTTTCTTTTGTGGATTTTAGCTATTTGTGTACCTATTGTATTACACAAATTAATCAGTGTTTCCAAACTTATAGGCCATGGTTTGTGGAGCTGTCTCACTGAATCTGATAATCCGTAGACTCATAAGGATGTATGTATATATCTATCATCTTGGGATGTCAAGCCTTCGTAACCCAAGGCATTTTGTGTTAAAATTATACTTATAAACCGTGGTAGCTACTATGCCAATTGTAATCAGAATCATCTTTTTCACCTTCTTGTCTATTGCTGTACCTTAACCTGGTTTCTTGCCTAAAGTGAGCACTCCATAAGTGCTGCTGGCTAGTTGTGTGGATGAGTGTCAGTGTGTAGCTGACAGCAAGATAGTGTTAAGAAGCCGCCTTCTGCTAGATTTCCCAATCCTGGTGCAGAAGCCCCGAATTATCGGAAATGTTACTGTTCTTCAGTATGGGTTTTACTTTTAAATGTTTACGAATGAAGCCTAATTCAGAAGAGAGAACCTGCCCGAAAGTGTGCATCATCTCAGATCTGCTTGAGCTTCTTGTGTTCTTAGAGACAGTGAGCCTCCTCAGGACATCATTGTTAATTAACTGCTGGTGATTAAAACCACAGGATTCTAGTAATTGACAGAGCCAACAACAAACAAACAGCAGTTTTTTTTTCAGTTACAGCATTTTGATATTTAAAAAAATTGGTATCCAGTTTCATATTTTACTTGTGTCATTTCAGTAATGCCTTATTTTCTAAATATTTTTGTCTAAATCAACAATGACTGTTTTCCAATAAATCTTTCTTGAAGATGTGAAATACACTTTGCCAAACTTATTCAATTTAATACTAAAAAATTGTAAACAATTATTATTGAATTCTAAGACAAATATAAGAATAAGAAGAGATGGCACAGTGGCTCGCGGCTGCAATCCTAATGCTTTGGGAAGCCGAGGTGGGAGGATTGCTTGAGGCTTGGAGTTCAAGACCAGCCTAAGCAACATTGTGAGACCCCTGCCTCTCCAAAAAAATTTTTAAAAAACAACTGGGCATGGTGGCACATGCCTGTAGTCCTAGCTACCCAGGAGGCTGAGACAGGAAGATTGCTTGAGCCCAGGAGTTTGAGGCTGCAGTGAGGTATGATTGCACCACTGTACTCCAGCCTGGGGTGACAGCTTCTTCTTCTGAAAAGGAAGGAAGTGAGGGAAGGAGGGAAAATGAAAGGAGAAAGAAGAAAAAGGGAAAAGAACAAGAAGAGACTCTTGAGGGGGAAATTTGTGGTGGACTGGAAGTGAGGAAACCTTGGGTCCTCTGTTTTGAAATATTTATTACTTTCATCAAATTACTTTGCCTCCTTTGGCCTCAGGTTTTTTATGGGTCTAGTAAAGGGAAGCAGGGCTGTAATCCTCAGGGAGTCTCTCCACTTTTTTCTTCAGAATCACTGAGGATAATGAATTCAAAGATTATTCATTAGGCATCCACCATGAACCATGCACTTACTACTCATTGGGGAGATCCGTTAAATAGATGCGATTTTGTTCTCTGGAAGCTTATGGTCTTTTGAGCAGATAAAGCTATAAATACAATATAGTTCATCTACATGTATGCTCTCCACAAATCACCAAGCCTCACTGAGTGTGTTTTCTTCCTCTCTAAAATGGCAACATGCCTTCTCAGGGGTATGTAAAAAGGTCAAATCTATGGGATGGTACTTTAAAGTATCATGAATCTAGAAATATAATGAGTTCCTTTACAGCCTTTTTTTTTTTTTTTTTTTTTTTTTTTTTTTTTGAGACAGTGTCTGGCTGTGTCACCCAGGCTGGAGTGCAGCAGTGCTGTCTTGGCTCACTGAAACCTCCACCTCCCGGGCTCAAGCCAGCCTCCCACCTCAGCCTCCTGAGTAGCTGGGATTACAGGCGCCCACAACCATGTCCAGCTAATTTTTGTATTTTTTGTGGAGACAGGGTTTTTCCATGTTGCCCAGGCTGGTCTTGAACTCCTGAGCTCACAGTTGCCAAATTCAGTAACTTCTTTTTGTTTTGTATCTGCTTTGACTTCTCTGCAGCAGCTTCTGTGAAGCTCTAATCTCCCGAGTTCTCTGGCTCTTAGACACTGGTGTGTGCCATCTCTGACTTCTCTATTCTCTGTTTTTTAACACATACACACACACACACACACACACACACACACACACACACACACATCATGAACTAAGATGGAAAATTGTAACACACACACACACACACACACACACACACACAAACACAATGAACTAAGATGGAAAATTGTAATTCCGGCCCAGTGTCTCTGTATATATAACATTTGTGACCCAACCAGAAATATACGTAGCACGAAAATACTCTATGCAATGTGGTGTTCCATTCACTGTCATTCCCATCTCTATTAATTACAGCATGCATTGTCCAAGTGAACACACATTTCATTGTCTACTATGCAAGATGCTATGGTAGGCTTATTGACCGACCTAACATTTTCACATCTCACATGTAAGCTGTGAGTTCTTTGAGGACAAGCTATTTTACTACTTCTGCTTTTAAGGCTTGGTTGGTACAGTGTTTATTATATAGAAGATACTTAACACAGTTTTTAAAAAATAGAAGGATAGAAACATCCCAGCATGGCGAGCCTTACATCTTCACACAATCTTCCTTTTCTAGAAAGTAACAATAGATTTTAAAATAGATTTTTCCATTAAAAAAAAGAAACTCAGGATGAGCACCCATGTCACACCTACTGTGGTAGCTACAATAAGAAAGATAACAAAAATAGGTGTTGACAAGAATGTAGAAAAATTGTTGAATGGTACAGCCACTTTGGAAAACAGTCTGACATCTCCTTAAAGTATTAAACATAAAGTTACCATGTATGTAACCCAGCAGTTCCAGTCCTAGGCGTATGCCCAGGAGAATTGAAAACATGTCCACACAAAAACTCTGAATGTTCATAGCAGCATCATTCGTCACAGTCAGAAAGTGAAAAAAAAAACAACCACCCAGATTTCCATCAACTGATGCATATAGATAAGTAAAATGTGGATATATCCATACAGTAGAATATTATTTGGAAATAAAAGAAGTAAAGTACTGTTACATGCTTCAACATGGGTGAACCTCAAAAACATTTTGCTAAGTGAAAGAACCCAGCATGAAAGACCAAATAATGTGTGACTCTATTTGTATGAAATGTCCTGAGTAAGCAAATTTGTAGAGATAGAAATACATTCGTGGCTCTCTAGGCACTAGGGGACAGGGGATGGGGGTGAGGCATGACTACTAATGGATATAGGGTTTCTTTTTGTCAAGATAAAAATGTTTAAAATTACATAGTGGTGATGGTTACACAACTCTATGAATATACTAGTACTATTGAATTATATACGTTAAATGGGCCAGTTTTCTAGTATGTGAATTACATCTCAATAAGGATGTTAAAATGCAAAATAACACACACACACTTTCTCTCTCTCTCTCTCTCTCACACACACACACACACACACACACACACACACACACACACACACACACACTAAATGCAATGTGGTGATTTGGATGGGATCCTGGAACAGAAAGAGAACACTAATGGGAAAACAAGTGAAATCCAAATAAAGTCCGGAGTTTACTTAATAGTAATGTACCAGTGTTGGTTTCTTAGTATTGACAACTGTGTTATGGTTATGTAAGATGTTAACGTTGGAGAAACCAGTGAGGAAGGGAGTGGGGATAAACGGGAACTTTCTGTGCTGTCTTTGCAAACTAAAGTTATTTCTACTTTTTATGTATACTATTTTTTGTATCAGCCTGAAGTTGTTACAAAATAAGTTTATCAAGATAAATTTTTTAAAAATAAAAGAAATATATAACCATTGAAGAAAATTTGGGAAACTACAGGAAAGTTAAAAGGAATATAAGTTGTCTCTTTGTGGTCGTTCAGACATATCCACCCAATTGAAAATAGATTAGGAGATTGCACCACAGAAGTGTAACATGTCAAGAGATTTTTGGCTGCCACTGTGTGTAAAATTTTTAATACTATATAATATATACTAATTGTTAATGTGGTGGATCGGAAATTGTTCCGTACTTGCAAGCTGGCAAGTTAACTTACATCCTGACACAGTTTCATGGGTGCTGGCTGAAGTCATGGCATTCTAGGGTCAGAGACAGGTAAATGTATTACTCATTGCATAGCCAGCAGCATCAGCATCACCTTCTCGTTGGTTCTCCTTGCTTCCTAAGCCCTATGCAGGCAACACGAAGGGGTCCAGGTTGATGCTGTGTCACAGCTGAGAAATCTAAACCTGAAGAAATCTGAATTTTTATACAGTGGACAGTAAGCCTGTGTGACCTTTGCCCTTGACTGAGACATTATCTTTATAATACTGGACAGAAACAAACCTGCCCTTTGCTTCGGAAGGAAACAGTATTTTTATCTTCTAAGGGTGTTTGATATACAAACAGTCTTGAAAAGATAGTCTAGAATAAAAGGACCATCAGGGCTTTTGCTGATAAAACCTGCAGAAATGCAAGAGGGACATGGAGAATTGTTTTCCAACATGATTATGTTCTCATCACTGTTATTATGTTCTCATCACTGTTACTCAGAAATTAGCATATTTACTTAAAGATATGTAACTTTAATTTTGTTCTAGTAGTATGTGTTTATTGTATATAATTTTGTAAAATATGAAACTCACTTTATGTAACACATGTACCTAAAATGACAGGAAAAGTATAGAGAGTCTTAGTTGCTTGCATATTCAAGGCAAATAATGTTCACTTTACTCATTGGCTGTGGAATGACATGTGGTATTGAGAAGGTAATGAAAAGTATTCTAAGAAATAAAATTTTTTTTTTTTTGAGGCGGAATCTTGCTCTGTCGCTAGGCTGGAGTGCTGTGGCGTGATCTTGGCTCACTGCAACCTCTGACTCCATGGTTCAAGCGATTCTCCTGTCTCAGCCTCCCAAGTAGCTGGGACTACAGGCATGTGCCACCACGCCCAGATAATTTTTGTATTTTTTCAGTAGAGACAGGGTTTCACTATGTTGGCCAGGATGATCTCGAACTCCTAACCTTGTGATCCGCCTGCCTCGGCCTCCCAAAGTGCTGGGATTACAGGCATGTGCCACCGCGCCCGGCAGAAATAGAATTTTAATAGGGTTTTCTAAACTGTTGGCCCCTTGTTGAAGGTCAAGGTAAGAGACAGTAATATGGTAATTCGTAGTAGTTCATTTCCACATTCTTTACTTATCACTAAAGAATCATCTGAGCTCTTTTATTTCTGTAAACTAAACTTGTTGCTGTATTCATGCAGCCTCTTCTTATTACAGGAATAATAGGGGCGGGGGGGGAGTAATTTTTTCCCTTCCAGCTTAAAAGTGTAGTTTTGTATTGCAGTACAGTGGTTCTATTAGCAGAGAATCTTATTTCACAGTAAGTAAAATTTGGCTCATTGCAAATGAAATGCCATTTGAAATTAAGAGAAAATTCTCTGAATGACTTTTTTTTTCTTTTTTTTTTTTTTTTTTTTTTTTTTGAGACGGAGTCTCTCTTTGTCACCCAGGCTGGAGTGCAGTGGCACAATCTCGGCTTACTGCAAGCTGAGCCTCCCGGGTTCACGCCATTCTCCTGCCTCAGCCTCCCGAGTAGCTGGGACTACAGGCGCCCGCCACCACGCCTGGCTAATGTTTTTGTATTTTTAGTAGAGACGGGGTTTCACTGTGTTAGCCAGGATGGTCTCGATCTCCTGACCTCGTGATCTGCCCACCTCGGCCTCCCAAAGTGCTGGGATTACAGGTATGAGCCACTGCACCCGGCCTTTTTTTTTTAAAAAGGAAAATGTGTTGTTTCAATTCTTTGAAAGATGTGGATAGGGTGTTGGTAAAGTTACAAAATTTGTGGTTACTTCCTTATTGTGTATACCTTAAAGTACCTTTCAGAAAGGATATTTTTAAATATGTGTAATCCCAGGGCACCTGCTGAAGATTCAGTTCCATTCAGGATTACTTTTAAATTTTTGGCATCATTTTGTAACACACCAGGAACTGAAACCTTGATGGCCCCTGATTCTTGCTGTTTTTGCTCTCTGTAATAGTAAAATAGCTGAACAGAGCAAATGATAAAGTGTTTTGTTTCATGTGGTTCTAGTTTGCCTGGTTATTTGCAAGCAGTTTAATTCCTTTCATTCATTTTATTGTCAGTTATAATTTGACAAAATGTCTCTAGCTTTCTGCCTTATGCCACTTAGCATATACAGTAAAACTGTTGATCTTTGTCAGCAGAAGAGTTTAAGATTCTCACTAAAGTGATCAGAAATATATTTTAGAGGTTATTGAATAAAATCAAGGCTTCTGTCTTTGAGCATACAAATATTCACAACTACTTAGTAGTTTGTTTAGATATTTCTGCTCATATTATTTAGAATTACATCTAAGTATGTCAGTTTTAATGATTAAAGGGTTATAATGTTAAGGTGTGTGGGAATTGTGAAGACTAAAATTTATTTTATATTTTATACTTCTGTTTTTGAGAATGTATTTGTTTTCAGCTTTATTCTGGTATAAATTTCCATACAACAAAATTAACCAATATAAGTTTATAGTTTGGTGAGCCTTGACAAATATTTAAATTGTGTAATCACTACCGCATCATAATAGGAACACTTCTGTCAGCTCAGAAGTTCTGTTCTGTCTCCCTGTAGTCAGTCTTCTCCTTCATTCTCTGCTGATCACTAATGTTTTCTTGCTACTGTAGGCTTGCCTTTTCTAGATATTGCATGGATAGAACCATACAATACATAGTCTTTTGAGTCTGGCTTTTTTTTTTTTTTAACTTACCGTAATACTCTTGAGATTCATCCATGTTGTTTGTATCAGCAGTTCATTTCTTCTTTCTATGAATCTATAACATTGTATGGATATATTATAATTTGCTTATCCATTTACCATTTGATGGCAATCTGGACTGTTTCTAGTTTGGAGCTCTCATGAATTAAAGCGCTTTAAAAATTCCAGTGCAAGTCTTTGTGTGACAGTAGGTTTTGATTCTTCTTCGGTAAATGAATGGAATGCTATGTTGTATGTAAGTATATGTTTGACATTATGAAAAACTGCTAAACTGCTTTCCCAAAATGGCTGTACTATTTTGCTTTCTTTCAGCAACAGTACTGTGTTCTAGTTGCTCCACATCTTTGCCAACATTTGGTATTATCAGTCTCAAATTTTGACTCTTGTAATGGATGTCTGCTGCTATGTCCTTGTGATTTTAATTTACATTTTCCTGTGGATTAATGATGTTGGGTATCTTTTTTTTGCTTATCTGCCTTTCGTATATCTTTTTAAATAAAATGTTTATTCAAATCTTTTACCCATTTAAAAAATCATGTTGCTTTGTTACTGCATTGTAAGAGTTTCTTTTATTTTTAAATATTCCGGGTAGGAGTTCTTAGCAGATAATTGTTTTATAAATATTTTCCTTCAGTTTTTAGTTTACCTTTTTGTTTTCCTAACAGTGGCTTTTGAGGAGTAAAAGTTTTTAAGGTTGACATAGATTTATCCTTTTTTTTCATGTTTTAAAAAATGTACTATTTAAGAAATCTTTGTGTAACCGAAGTTCCCATAAAAGTGTTTCCCTCTGTCTTCTTTAGGAGTTTTATAGTTTTAGGTTGAACATTTAGATATATAAAGTATTCTGAGTTCATTTTTATAGGTGGTAAGGTTTGGGGTAAGATTTTAGATCTTGGGGAGTTGTATTTGTTTACATATTAGTATCCAGTCGTTATAGCATCATTTGTTCATAAGACTATTTGTTCCTCATTAAAATATCTTGGCATCTTTGTCAGGAATCAATGGGCCATATCTGTGAAGGTCTGTTTGTGGATTCTCTCTTCTCTGCCATTGATCTATATGTCTGCTGTTTAATATCACCCCGGTTTGGTTAGTGCAGCTTTTATAGTATGTCTTGAAATCATGTAGTGATCAATTTGAGGACAATTAACAACTGTATTGAGTCTTCTGATCTCATGGAATCTCTGTATTTATTTAAGTCTGCATTAATTTTTCTCAACAATGTTTTATAAAGGTTTCAGAGTATGAGTCTTACTCATATTTTCTTAAAATTATCCCTAATTATTTTATATTTATTGAGGCTTTTGTAAATGGTATTGCTTTTACTTTTAATTTCAATTTCTAATTGCTCATTGCTAGTATGTTGACTTTGTGTCTGGCAACCTTGCTTTTATTAATACATTATTTATTCCAGTATTTTTATAGATTCCTTAGGATTTTCTACATAGGCAGTCACGCCATTTGTGAATAAACCAAGTTTTACTTCTTCCTTTCCAATGGTATGCGTTTTCTTTCTTTTTCTGCTTTACTGCACTGGATAGGACCTCCAGAATATTGTTGAATAAAAGTGATGAGAATGGACATCTTTGGTTACTGATCTCAGAATGAAAGCATTTAGTCTTTCACCAATAAATATAATGTTAACCGTAGGTTTTTTATAGATGCCTTTGTCAGGTTGAGTAATTTCCTTTCTGTTCCTAGTGTTCTGAGAGTTTTTATCATGAATAGATGTTGAATTTTGCTGATTTTTTTTTTTTCCTTTGAGGCAGATTCTTGCTTTGTTGTCCAGGCTGGTGTTCAGTGGCACAATCACGGCTCGCTGCAACCTCTGCCTCCTGGGTTCAAGTGATTCTCATGCCTCAGGCTCCCTAGTAGCTGGGATTACAGAGACCCACCACCACACCTGGCTGATTTTTGTATTTTCAGTAGAGATGTGGTTTCACCATGTTGGCCAGGCTGATCTTGAACTCCTGACCTGAAGTGATCTGCCTGCCTTGGCTTCCCAAAGTGCTGGGATTACAGGCATGAGCCGCCGCTCCCGGCCCCAAATTCTTTTCATCTAATGATGATCATTAGTTCGTGAGTTTTTTGGTCTTTTAATAAACTGGTTTTTCAAGTGCTAAACCAACCTTAAATTCCTGGGATGGACCCATTTGCTCATGATATATATTGCTGGATTCCATTAACCTAAAATTTTGTTAAGGTTTTTTGCATCTGTATTCCTGAGGAATATTGATCTATAGTTTTCTTATATCTGTCTGGTTTTGATTTCAGAGTAATGCTAGGCTCATAAAATGAGCTGCATTGTAAATACTTTTCTTCTGTTTTCTGTAAGAGCTTGTGTAGAGTTGACATTTCTTTCTTAAATGTTTGGTAGCATTCACCACTGAAGTCATCTAGGCCTGAAGTTTTCCTTGTAATAAAGTTTTAAACTATGGACTCAATTGCTTTAATAGAATAAGGCTATTTAGATTATCTATGTTTTCTTGAGTGAATTTTGGTAGTTTGCATAGTGTCATGGAATGCTATTTCATCCAACTTGATGAATTTATTGCAGTAATGTTCGTAATATTTCTTTATTTTTTCAATATCTATAGGATCTGTAATGGTGTCACTCTGTAATTCCTGATTCCTGTCATTTGTCGCTTTTCTTTTTTGATTAGCCTCGCCAGAGTTGTATTGATATTATTGACCCTTTTAAGGAACCAGCTTTTGGTTTCATTGATTTTATTGTTCTTCTGTATTCTATTTTATTGATTTTTGTTCTTTATTTTCTTTATCCTGCTTGCTTTGGGTTAATTTCCTCCTCTTTTTCTAGTTTCATAAGGTAGAAGTTTAGATCACTGATTTGAAACCTTATGTTCTAATATAGGCATGTAATGTTACAAATATTGCTGTTAGCACTGCTTTAGTTATATCCACACATTTTTATATGTGGTGTTTTAATTTTTATTCAATTTAAAATATTTTCTTCTTTTTCTTAATATTTCTACTTTCCCTGGGTTATTTAGAAGTTTTTTTTTTTTTTTTTTTTAATCTCTGTCACCCAGGCTGGAGTGCAGTGGCGCGATCTTCACTCACTGCAAGCTTTGCCTCCCGGGTTCATGCCGTTCTGCCTCAGCCTCCTGACCCTGAGTAGCTGCGACTGCAGGCGCCTGCCACCATGCCTGGCTAATTTTTTTGTATTTTTTTTTTAGTAGAGACAGGATTTCACCGTGTTAGCCAGGATGGTCTCCATCTCCTGACCTTGTGATCCGCCCGCCTCAGCCTCCTAAAGTGCTGGGATTACAGGCGTGCCACGCCCAGCCTATTTAGAAGTTTTTAAAATTTTTTTCAAATATTTGAGTTTTTCCCCAGTATCTTTTGTTTTGGATTTCTGATTTAATACTGTTGTGATCACAGAGCATACTTTTTATTATTTTAATTCTCTTATATTTAAGACTTGTTTTGTGCTACAGTATATGTTTGTTTTATTTGAGGTTTGTTTTATGTGATACAATATGAACATTTGTTTTATTTGAGGTTTGTTTTATGTGATAGAATATGAACATTCCAAGTGCACTTGAGAATGTTTCTTATGCTATTATTGGGTGGAGTGTTCTATATTGTGTTAGCTCAGATTGGTTGAGGTTTTTCAAGTTTTCTCTATCTTGCTGATTTTGTTTGTGTTTATCAATTAAGAGAGGAGTATTGAAATCTTCAGTGGTAATTTTAAAAATTTAAAATTCAATCAAAGAGAATTATAATATTAAGAGGGTTGGGAGGTGTAAAGGCAATATTTAAATTTTTTTTAATTTGTGGGGAAGGGGGAAGTATTTGCTTTTTAGAATAACACAGACTTGGCATTCCAGCACCAGTCCTGCTGTTTATTACTTCAGCAACCCCTCTGAGCCTGTTTTTTTTTTTTGAGATGGCGTCTTGCTCCGCCCAGGCTGGAGTGCAGTGGCGCGATCTCTGCTCACTGCAACATCTGCCTCCCGGGTTTAAGCAATTCTTGTGCCTCAGCCTCCTGAGTAGCTGGGATTACAGGCGTGCACCACCACCATGCCTGGGTAAATTTTGTATTTTAGTAGAGATGGGGTTTTGCCACATTTGCCAGACTTGTCTTGAACTCCTGGCCTCAAGCAGTCCTCCCACCTCAGCCTCCCAAAGTGTTGGGATTACTGGCATGAGCCACACCAAATATGTATTTTAATATTTAGTCAATTTCATTTGTTAACTTTTTTAATTTTACCCTTGGCCTACACTATGGCCTTCATCTTCGTGTATCTTTTCTTATTGCTTTTGTATGCCTAATTTTTATTGACAACCTCTAAAGATCCTTGAGTATAGATTGCTGTGGTAATATTGTGAAAAAAAAATTTTTTTCCCTTGACATAAGTTTGCTCACCCTGTATTAAAGAAAAAGATAGGAATGTTGGTCAGTTGACATAATTTTGGCACCTGTAAAATTATCTCACATTACTTCAATGTCTGAAACTCTGTGTTTTCTTTTTCTTTCAGATAAACCGAGAAAACTGGTGTACAATAGAGCCATGCCCTGATGCAGCATCTCTTCTGGCTTCCAAGCAGAGCCCAGGTAAGCTGAGATTATCCATTCATTTTCTGGAGCTGCAGCCCCACTCTGGCAGATCGTTTTATTTGGAGATCTGCCCTTCCTTAGCATGTTATACAGTAAATCAGAGGAAGGGATGTATGTGATCTGGGTTTGTAGGCATTTTGTCTTACAGTTGAAGATGAACACATGTAATTACCGAATTTTGTTTTGGTAGCAACAGACATCATAGGTGGCTTTATGATTCATTCATTTGTGAAGGCATCTGTGCTGTGCATATACATATGACATAGGATTTTTAATCTGGTAAAAGTATAAATATACTGTTAACCAAACCTGAGGTTCTCAATTTTGAATGCACATTGGAATTATCTGGCTGAACAAGCTTTAAAAATATACTGATGCCTGGGTCCTACCTCCAGATATTCTGATTTAATTGGGTGGGGTGTGGCCTAGATATCAAAATCTTTATAAGCTCCTTTGATTACCCTGCTGTGTACCCAAGGTTGAGAACCATTACACTTTGGACACATGGTCAGGAATTAAGTCTTTCCTTAAGTACCTTTGAGTTATTCCTAACAACACTTGAGGGTACGATGCTCTTAAGACCTTGCTTGTTAATGACACAGCACATAGCTTGTGATTAGTTAGGATTCCCAACTTTTAAACCAGGTCCAGCCTCTAACTCTGTGTGATGTAAAGTATGTTCCCTAATGTCTGTGTGCTCCGTTGTCTCCCTCCCATCTGTAAAGTGTTAGTAGCCTGTCTCATTTTGAGGGTGTAGTACAGATGACATGATGAGTAATCCCTGTGCCTGTTCTACGACTGCTAAGTGAATACTAGTAATTTGCATTCTGAGTTTTTTTAGTCTGTTTTACCCAGCAAGCCTCTGTTTGCCTTCCCAATTTTTACTGCCCAGCTTTAAAAATTACCTAGTCTTCATTTGCAGGTCTTTTTAGAAATAGTTTACATGTAGATACCCTCCAGTAGTATTAAATTTAAAAACAAATGGTTTTGAATCCTCTAACTCCAGAGCAGTTTCCTACTGATTGTCAACTCTCTAACTTTACTACAAAGGAAATATTGAAAACAAATATGAGAAGTGTTTTTCTCTATTTTTGTCTCATTTTTTGAGAGTAGTTAAGGATATTATGCTATAGTTGTGTTCAGGGTCCAAGTTTTACAAGATTGGCCCTGTTCACAGATTTAGCTGACACTTCCCCCATGTAGCCTCCTAGAACCTTCTACTTAAACGTGTACCACTTACTACTGTGTTTTGGGTCCTTAAACTGTTTGGGGCTTTTTCTAAAAGTGTAATTAAAACCACCCAAGAGTGAGACTTTCTGCCAAGTAAAGGTTAAATGAGGTTGGTCACAGTTTGAATATTCATAGGAAGGAAAGATCTCCACACATCATAGTTTAATTTCTATATTTAGAGAAATAATTTTTGAACCCCTGGATGTTTTCCCCAGGACACAATTTTGAATTCTGTAGACCTACTGTACACCCTAACCCCAAGCATAAGCAATTTAGTCTTTTTAGAGTAATTATTGTAAAATCTCGATTTAACAGAATTGCAGATCAGAATTATGCTACTGAGCTTCAGACCTGAGATTTTGATTTTAGGCATAGTGTTTTTGTGAATCCCAGGTACTTTGTTTTGCAGGTTTCTGTATTTTACTTTATACACACTTCCTCAAGAGAGCAATAGCATTAGACCAAATAAGATATTGTCTTTTGGCCGGGCGAGGTGGCTCACGCCTGTAATCCCAACACTTGGGGAGGCCGAGGCGGGCAGATCACGAGATCAGGAGTTCAAGACCAGCCTGGCCAGTATGGTGAAACTCCCATCTCTACTAAAAATACAAAAATTAGCCGGGTGTGGTGGCACGCCTCTGTAGTCCCAGATACTCGGGAGACTGAGGCAGAAGAATCACTTGAACCTGGGAGGCGGAGGTTGCAGTGAGCCAAGATCATGCCACTGCACTCCAGCCTGGGCGACGGAGCAAGACTCCATCTCAAATAAATAAATAAATAAATAAATAAATAAATAAATAAATAAATAAATAAATAAATAAATAACGGAGTCTCGCTCTGTCGCCCAGGCTGGAATGCAGTGGCACAATCTCGGCTCACTGCAAGCTCCGCCTCCCAGGTTCACACCATTCTCCTGCCTCAGCCTTCTGAGTAGCTGGGACTACAGGTGCCTGCCACCACACCCGGCTAATTTTTTTGTATTTTCAGTAGAGATGGGGTTTCACCATATTAGCCAGGATGGTCTCAATCTCCTGACCTTGTGATCCATCCCCCTCATCCTTCCAAAGTGCTTACAAAGGGATTACAGGCATGAGCCACCGTGCCTGGCCAAGATACTGTCTTTTAAAATCACTTTGTATACTCTTCAATAATGGATAAATTACAAGATAGAATTATGATTAGTGTGACATAACAGAGCCCACCGGATTTCAGCAGTGTGTTTTCCTGCCCTTCCCCAACAACAGTTTGTTGGCATATATGTTGTTTTAAACCTAAATGACTAGATAACACCTTTTAAAAAGTTTGTATTATGTTAGCTTCTGAAAAGCTAATAGCTCAGTACACAAAAATTACAGACAGATTTACATATGGGTCATAAAATGGGACTGGCCCTACCTGTGTCCACCTTTAAGGTACTGTCATCTGGATACTTACTGAATCATACATTAAAGGTTAATGAAGCCTTAACTTCATTAGACACATATATCACACACCTGCTATGTGCTGGAAACCAGAGTTCTGGTTACTGTATGTATAAATTATTCCTGTCACTATGACTCCTTTAGGGAAGTACTAATCATCTCTTGTCACTGTTATGGAAATGGCAACTGAGAGGGGTGAAATTACTTCTTGCCTGGAATTTTTCTTCTATTAAGTAGTCAGACCTAGATTTAAGCCTGATCAGTCTAACTAAAAAACCAGAGCTCTTTACTCTTGTTTACACTTAGATATGCCGCTCCCCTTTATTCAGTAGGAAGGGGACAAATAGGAAGAAAGAAAAGATTTTATTAATTTTGAAAACTTACCAATTCATGTGACACAGGGTGTGGATTAGCTCTGCCTTTAGGGATTCCCCCCACCTCCCCCCGCCCCATGGCGTTAGGGGGTTATAATGGTTTACGGTCCCTCTCTCTCCATCTTAGCCCTTCTTTCTGTACTTTTCCCTCTTTCCCTCCTCAACAGTCAGCTTTATCTCACAGAGCAGACTCTCGTCCCAAACTTGGTTTGTTATCCCTTGTGGTGCTGGCTTGAATTTATTTTCTGGGTGAGGTATTCCTCCCAGGGCTGAATCTGGATCTTCCCCATGAATTTTCCATTCGAATATCGTGAGCTAGTTTGTTTTCCAGTCTGGAATTTGGACGTGGTCTGTTAGAGGGCCAGCTGGACAGCGAGCAGCTCAGCGTAGTTGCTGTGACAGCCCTTTCTTTTCTTGGCCAGCCCCCATATTTTTCCCTCAACCATGGAAAGGCATTTTTTTATTTTTTCAAGCAGGGAAAGGAGAAGGAATAGATCACACCCACCAACTCCTCCTAGGTTACTACATACTCTAGGAAACGTGAAAAAAAAAAAACCTCCAGAATACCCATAGTTTCCAGTCTGTTAAAGGCAGGGCTGTTCCCATTGAACTAACACACTCCAAAATAGTTTGAACCAAGACTGAAACAGACTAAGGTGATTTTTTTTTTAAATGAAAGATTTTCAGATTCATCCATGAGCCCTCTCTCACTTCCTATGGCATTTTTTTTTTTTGTAATTCTTTGTTGAAATTGTCTTCTAATATGTTCATTTCTGCTACAAGACAGTAAACTGCTTCCCCCCCAACACTAAACATTTCTTTTTATTTGGTTACTCCCCAGTATTTAGCCAGATGCTTAACTAGTAGAAAAAGTAATTTTATTGGCAGGGGATTTATGACCTATACCAATGCAATGCAATGCAGCCTTGACCCTTGCTCTAAGCTACCAGCGCAAATAATTCAGTGATTATCACTAATTACTTAACTGTTAATTAGAAGAACTATTTCTTCCCACTTTCAACACACAGAGACAACATAATTACCATCCAGGCATAAAATCTAATAATCAAAGGAGACGTTGGAAGTTATGTAGTCCAACCCTCACTTCCCTCTCTGTGCAGATACCTTTTCTGTAATATCTTGACATAGTCATTCTGTGTTCCAAAACCCTTCTGGTAAAGTGATAGTCATTACTTTATAGGCCACCCAACCTATTGCTAAGAAGCCCCGTTTTAGTGAAGCTCTGTAGCTCACACTCACTGGTCTTTGCCCCTGGAACAGTACAGAGGGAATCTGTGACAGTCTTTAGGCACATTTTCTTCAAGCTCCTCGGCAAGCTGTATGTATCTCAGACGGTTTGACTGTCGTGACCCCATTACTACGTACACATTTTTGTTTATCAGTGTTCTACTTGAGATGTTATTTAGGAACAAGTACAGTCCCGAGGGTGTGGTCTGGATGGCACATAGCGACAGGACTGTCCCCGTTTTGGATGCCCGTGTACTATTTACTAATAGAGACTAAAACTATTAGTGTTTCTTTGGTTTTGTCATCACCTTGTACTGTCAGTTCCTTTTGAATTTGCTTCCCCCAAAACCTCCAAGTAGAGTTCTCTTTAACTCCTAGATAGCCAGGTTTCTTGCCCTGTCCCTCATCATTTAGTGTCACCTACAAATTTGATAAAGCATGCCTACCTGGTTGTCCAAATAACACATTAACTTGCTTACAAAAACAGAGATGCATGACTTTTATCTTCTTTTTTTTTTTTTTTGGAAATGAAGTTGCTCTCTGTCACCTAGGCTGGAGTGCAATGGCGTGATCTTGGCTCACTGGGCTCACTGCAGTCTCCGCTTCCCGGGTTCAAGCGATTCTTCTGCCTCAGCCTCCCAAGTAGCTGGGATTACAGGCACCTGCCACCATGCCTGGCTAATTTTTTGTATTTTTAGTAGAGACGGGGTTTCACCATGTTGACCAGGCTGTTCTCGAACTCTGGCCGCAGGTGATCCGCCTGCCTCAGCCTCCCAAAGTGCTGGGATTACAGGCTTGAGCCACCATGCCCGGCCATGACTTTTATCCTTAAAACTTCTTAGGGCCAGGCCCAGTGGCTCACACCTGTAATCCCAGCACTTTGGGAGGCTGAGGCAGGTGGATCACATGGTCAGGAGATGGAGATCATCCTGGCTAACACGGTGAAACCTCATCTCTACTAAAAATACAAAAAAAAAAAAAAAAAAAAAAATTAGCCAGGCATGGTGGCACGTGCCTGTAGTCCCAGCTACTCAAGAGGCTGAAGCAGGAGAATCGCTTGAACCCAGGAGGCGGAAGTTGCAAAAACTTATTGAAGGAAGCTCATATCCACTCAGTAATGGACTTGGGTTCTTGGTTTCACCATCCACAAATCTCTTTAACCGTGTTGGTACCCAGTCACATGTCACTTTTGTTTACAAAGTTAATAGCCTGGGCAACATGCCAAAACCCCATCTTTACAAAAAATAAACTGGACTTGGTGGCGTGTGCCTGCATTCTCAGCTACTTGGGAGGCTAAGGTGTGAGGATTGCTTGAGCCCAGGAGGTGGAGGTTGAAGTGAGCTGAGATCATGTCACCGTAGTACAGCCTGAGCAACAGAACGAGAACTTGTCTCAAAATAAACAACACAAAACAGAAAAGCAAAGTTAATAAGAGAGAATACCTTGCTTATTTCAAGCTACTAAGTTTTTAGGCTTCCTCAATGTACAAAGGTAGTATTTCTGTCACAGACCCCTCCCTCTAGCTTGCCAGGGTCCCTGTTCTAGTTATTGAACCGAAAACATTCTAAATGATAAATTTTTCCACTTTGGCATATTATGCCCCCAATTTAAGAGCTATTTATGGTAAGAAAAGTTAAATTATATTTCTGTTATTACTCAGTAGAACCTATAAGTTTAAAACAAACCCCATCACATAGTTGCTAGTAAAAGACTTTGGATTTTGAAGACAAAAGAAAAAAAATGCCCTCACTACCATGAGGAAAGCATTACCATTCAGGTATCTAAATAGAAGTAGAATATGCTTCTAAATCATCCTTTTATCTTTCTGTACCTAATATAAACGTGGCAGATGCATGATTGTCCTGTAGGAGCTATTTCAACCTAGAATTGGAGTAGCAGAGCTACTAATTTGACTGTGTCCTTTTATAGCTTCTTAATTTTGAAAAAAAGAAATAAGGAGGGAAGGAAGAGAAAAGAGTGAGAGAGAGATTTAAAAGACTGGTTGCTGGGGTGAAAAGGAAGTGGTTCTTTTTGTTTTTTGGTTTTTTTGTTTTTTTTTTTTCAATATTGGTGAATAAATTCTCTTTTTCAGAATGTGAGAACTTCCTGGATGTTGGACTGGGCAGAGAGTGTACCTCAAAACAAGGTGTACTTAAAAGAGAATCTGGGAGTGATTCTGACCTCTTTCACTCACCCAGTGATGACATGGACAGCATCATCTTCCCAAAGGTACTGTGTGGACCTTCCTTTCATTTTTGTCACACGGCTTTTGTGTTCCTATTTGGGCTTCCCAAACTCTTTTCCAACTTTTTCCCCCTCTTGTGCTCTCCTGTTTCCCTAAATATGTAACTCCTGCTAGTAAGTTGTGATCCAGCTAGCCTTGTAGGGCCTCACTCACTCTGAGAGGCATGTAAATGTTCTTTGGAGAAGGAAGCGCCAGATTACCAGGGTTTAGAAAAAGGCACTGGGCTGGGCATGGTGGCTCACGCCTGTAATCCCAACACTTTGGGAGGCTGAGGTGGGCGGACCCCTTGAGGTCAGGAGTTCGAGACCAGCCTGGCCAACATGGTGAAACCCCATCTCTACTAAAAATATAAAAATTAGCTGGACGTGCTCACTTGAACCCAGGAGGTGGAGGTTGCAGTGAGTCAAGTTCGCGCCACTAAACTCTAGCCTGGGTGGCAGAGCGAGACTCTGTCTCCAAAAACAAAAAAAAGGGAAAGAAAAAAGCATTGGCCAAAGTTATTTAATGTGAAATTGTGGCCAGTTAAATACAGATTTTGAAGCTCACTTGGGAGTCAGAAGAAATGGAAGTTCCTTTAGAATTAATTAAGTCAGATGACAGTGAACACTTCTCAGTGGGCAGCAAGGACCGCAGCTCAGACTATATGATGTCATATTTATAAACCAGCTGTAGAGTCATTTCTGGTTAATGTGTTTAGGCCTGAAGCTTCCTGCTGAGTGTGGTCATATCACTCATCCTCATCTAGCCTGCCTAATTGGAACTTTCTAGATCTCTGCAATAGAGCCCTTCCACATGAATCAGCTCACATTTGCATATAATTGGAGGCTGCCTAAGGGAGGTGGGGAATGGGGGTAGTTTGCTTTCTTTTGCTTATATTTGTTTCTAGTGGCAGCAAGTTCTGTTTTGCTCACCTGAGAAGAATAGAGGGCTTTCCCCACAGCAGAGATGGCAAATGCTACTCAATTATATGCCACAAGTGGTTTTCTTAATGGTAAGGAGGTGAAGAGGCGGAAACACTGTTGCATCTACCAACACGGTTCCTTCTAGTTTTATAATGAGCTCGGAGAAGTGGTGAGAGCAGTTGTGTTAGTGGGTGATTAGGTTGTCCAAGATGGTGAATGATGCTGTGTAGAAGTTACAAGAATAGGCCGGGTGTGGTGGCTCATGCATGTAATCCCAGCACTTTGGGAGGCCAAGGCGGGTAGATCACTTGAGGTCAGGAGTTCGAGACCAGCCTGGAAATGGTGAAAACCCGTCTCTACTAAAAATACAAAAAAATTAGCTGGGCATGGTGGCGCGTGCCTGTAACCTCAGCTACTCTGGAGGCTGAAGCAGGAGAATTGCTTGAACCCAGGAGGTGAAGGCTGAAGTGAGCTGAGATCACACCACTGCACTGCAGCCTGGGCAACAGGAGTGAAACTCCATCTCAAAAGTAAAAATAAAATAAAATAGAAGTTACAAGAAAAGAGACCTAAAGATTTGGGAATCAGGAGCATATCAGTGCCTCTGTGAATGTACCCTGTGTGCCTTCCTTTCATTTTTGGCCTTCCCTGACTTTTTTTTTTTTGAACTCATTGTCTTCCCAAGGTCTTTGGAAAGACTTATTTAATATGATGCAAACTTAAGGATTTCTATCATTGTCACTCATAGTGACTTGACAAAAAATTCTATGAAGTAAAAACTCCACATTTAGGACCGGGCGCAATGGCTCACGCCTGTAATCCCAGTACTTTGGGAGGCTGAGGCGGGCTGATCATGAGGTCAGGAGATCGAGACCATCCTGGCTAACACGGTGAAACCCCATCTCTACTAAAAATAGTGGTGGCGGGCACCTGTAGTCCCAGCTACTCGGGAGGCTGAGGCAGGAGAATGGCGTGAACCCGGGAGGCGGAGCTTGCAGTGAGCCGAGATTGTGCCACTGCACTCCAGCCTGGGCGACAGAGCGAGACTCCATCTCAAAAAAACAAAAAACAAAACAAAAAAAACTCCACATTTAGAAGATCTGCCTTTCTCTTTACTTAGGAAAAGAGAAATCAATAGTTTTATGTTATTTTATTTTTTTTTTAATAATATCAGAATTTAGGTAATTTCCACTGCGACTTTCGAGGTTTTAATTGTAAGGAATTCTGTTCCCCGCAAGGGGAATACCATTCTGAAGATATGTGTCGCTAAAAACATACTGAGATAAACAGATTAGATAGTATCTCTAAGTTCCAGCTTTAAAATGGGATCATTGATAATCATTGAAACTAGGTCATGGATATACAGAGATTTGTTAAACATTTATATATGTTTGAAAATTTTAACGTAAAAAGTTTTTTAAAAATGGAAGTGTCTTTGTTAAGAAATACTTCCTTGCAACCTCCTAGGTGCATGACAGCTTGTGCCTGGATGTTACCATCTCTGCAGACTCAGAGTTACTTCTGGTCACTTAATTGAATGGTTTTCTTAGCTAAGGAGAATTAGAATTTTCTATATTTCGCCGTCTTATTTTCCCAGAACCATTTACAAAATTGCTCATATAAATGGCCTGTGCTAGATTTGGAAGATTTTTTTTTTCAAGAATATTAGACATATAATTTTTAAAAGTTGAAGGAGGCCAGGCGTGGTGGATCTTAGCATTTTGGGAGGCTAAGGCAGGAGGATCACTTGAGTCAAGGAGTTTGAGATCAGCCTGGGCCAATATAATGGGACCTTGTCTCTACAAAAAATACCAAAATTAGCCAGACATGGTGGTGCACACCTGTGGTCCCAGCTATTCAGGAGGCTGAGGTGGGAAGATCACTTAAGTGTAGGAGGTTAACGCTGCAGTGAGCCGTGATGGCACCACTGCACTCCAGCCTGGGCGACAGAGCAAGACCCTGTCTCAAAAATAAATAAATAAATAACACCTACATTTTATACTAGACTGCTTAGGGAAAACCAGAAATGGTAGCTTCACTTTCACCTCCTCATGCATGCTTGAGAATGTCTGCATGGCCTGAGAAGAGATGGGGAGGATTTTTCTCTTAGTGTTTTTGCTGTACCAAAGTAGCCTGTGACCAGGAGAGGCTTTGCAATAAATGTTTGCTCTAGCATTAATAAAACCAAGGGCTGACTTACAAAAAGGAGAGAGACTAATATTGACAGGATACTTACTGTACAGTAGGTACTGAACTAAATTTTTAAAATATTTGATCTCAATTTGTCTGCCCAGCAACCCTGACAAGTGGGTGGTTTTATGCTCTTGAGGAAATAGAGGCACTGATAGGTAAAGAAATGTATCCAGAATTACTTAGTGGGTGAGCAGCCAACTTGAGGTTTGCATCTAGGCCTGACTCTAAAATCTGTTCATTTTTTATTTTACTCTCAACCTCCCCAAACCTGCTCTAATAGCCAGTGATTAAATAAAAGCGTGGCACTGGCAGATAGGCCATCAGCTGCTTCCTTAAAAGTCTTCCTCAGTGGTCACCCCCAGAGTGTGCTATGCAAAATATCAGAATGTCTTGCAGTTTGTTCCCAGGTTCTAACCCTCTTCTCCATCTCTAAAAAATAATCTGTAGGCGAGACATTGCAACATCTTTTTCTGTGAACCATGAGTGGTACATGAGGTCACTTCCTGCAGCCATTTGTGTCTCTGGCCTCACAGAGGTCTTTAACAGCCCGTAACGTTTGTCGTGACCTTTTCACCTTAACCCTGTCTTTCCATTCAGTATGCCTCCTGGTAAATGACTCTTTAGTGAGTGTTATGAGCTTCACGTTTATTCTCATGAATATGTGTGGGTTCCTAAGGTCTTTAATCAATAGCATAAAATTTAGATTTTATTTTTAAAGTGAAAAGAAATCCTAGGATTCTTTTTGGCACTAGCTAAGAGAGAAAGTACGATTATAAAATATACATGATCTAGGCCACTCTACTATCCAAAAGGATAATTAAAGTCTACAGGAAATATTAATAGTTGCTGCCTGTCTTCCCAAAGAGAGGTAAATCAAGGTCCTTCCATGTTATTTTTCTTCCCCAGGTTAGCAGATGTATCTACAATTGATTTAAAAAAATCAGAATGACTTATATAAGATACAAAACCTAAAGGGAACATCCTTCTTTCATGTGTTGTAGTTTTTCTCAGGTCCTTGATCCCCAAGCCAAAAAATTACTTAAAAAAAAACAATAAACCTTTTTGAGATAAAAATAAATGTAAGCCAGGCATGCTGGTTCACACTTGTAATCCCAACACTTCGGGAGGCTGAAGTGGGAGGACTGCTTGAGTCCAGGAGATTGACACCAGCCTGGGCAACATAGTGAGAACCTGTCTCCAGTAAAAAATTTAAAAATTAGCCAGGCATGGTGGCACACGTCTGTAGTCCCAGCTACTTGGGAGGCAGAGGCGAGAGGATCACTTGAGCCTTGAAGTTCAAGGCTGCAATGAGCTGTGATTGTGCAACTGCACTCCAGCCTGGGCAACAGAGGGAGATGCTGTCTTAAAAATAAATAAAAGTAAATGTATTTACAGAATCCTAATTAAGAAAATGACAATTGCGGCTGGGCGTGGTGGCTCATGCCTTTGAGAGGCCGAGGCAGGCGGATCACTGGAGGTCAGGAGTTCGAGACCAGCCTGGCCAACATGGTGAAACCCCATCTCTATTAAAAATACAAAAATTAGCTGGGCGTGGTGGCAGGCGCCTGTAATCCCAGCTACTCAGGAGGCTGAGGCAGGAGAATCATTCGAACCTGGGAGGTGGAGGTTGCAGTGAGCTGAGATTGTGCCACCATACTCCAGCCTGGGCAACAGAGTGAGACTCCATCTCAAAAAAAAAAAAAAAAAAAAAAAAAAAAAAAAAAACAACAAAAACTGCAATTGCCTGTGCACAAGTGCTGAAATTATTAAAAACTTAAAACTGTGAACCAGTGGTAATGCTTGTAATCAGGTACTTTTCTTAAAATATTGAACATAAATGGATTAAATGGTTGGCATGTGTTAGGTGTTTAAAATGTGAGCCATTATTTTCCAAGGCACATAGTAGAGTGCCTTGTGTATCATTACAAATAATAATAATAAATGTTTGGGAATAAATGGAGATTAAAGGACTAGTATTTTGGCAATATTAAGCATGATTTCTTCAAGTATAGTAATAAGATATAAAGTATGCAGCAGTTTTGTAATTTTATGTTTATAATGTTTATACCTCTGTATATACTTACGTATCCATACCTGTATAATGTAACTCTGGCTAAGAAAGCCAATCAGGCATTTTTCCCAACATTTTATTAAGAATATATTGAGGCATATAGAAAATTTGGAGAATTGTACAGTGAACACCCGTATACCCACTACTTAGATCCTACAATTAACTTTTAATTGTATTTGCTCTATTATGTAACTATATATCTGTCCATCCTTCTGTCCACCCAGTTTGCCTGAATTCTTTGAGGCAAGTTACAAATATCGATATACTTCACCTCTGAACACTTAGAATTCAGTATTTGTTTATAGGTTGGTTGGGTTTTTCGGTGAAGTTTACATACAGTGAAATGTACAATCTTGAGGGTACCAGTCAGTGACTTTTTAAAAAAAAATTTAATGACTGCTTCACGAATGTGTGCATCATCCTTGCACAGAGGCCATGCTAATCGTCTGTGCATTGTTCCGATTTTAGTGTATGTGCTACTGAAGTGAGCACCCATCAGTGACTTTTGATAGAAGCCTTCATTCACGTTTGTACGCAGCCTGCAGCAGGGTACAGACTATAAGCATCACTTTGGAGTTGCCTCATGTCTCTTCTCAGTCGGTCTCCATTCACACCCTCTCAAGGCAACAGCTGTCTTAACTGTTTTCCCACCGCAGATTAGTTTTCTGTTTCAGAACTTCGTATAAATGGAATCTAAATAATATCATTTCTCTTGAGAAATACCTAGGATTCGAATTCTTAGATTATATGGTAGGTATAGGTTTAGTTTGCTAAGAAACGGATCTTTTCCCAAGCGGTTGTACCATTTTACATTTTCACCAGTGATGTTTTGTTTTCCTTTTTCAAGTAATAACCACCAATTCATAGTAAGAGCTGCATACTGCAGTAAAAATAATGAGTATAAGAATATTATTCTGTGTGAACTTTATTCTTACCAGATATGCAAGACTGTAGAAATCATGTAGTTTCAGTGAGATCAGAGTTAAAAGCACATATTAGGAAGAAAGGCTTTGTGTTGAGAATATATTCTAGACAGATCTCTTTGTTTTTAAAATGTGTATAAACAGGCCACCAAAGATTTTCCCACCTTATTTTAATGACTCTCAAAAGGGTAGATGGTTGTTTTATAAACTTCAGATTCGTTAAGTGCCAGAGAGATAGCAGGCCTTTTTTTCAAGGCAAAATCCTTCCAAGATTGGATGCCAGAGTGAAGAAGCACCTATATAACTGTCTGTGAGTTGTTTCCAAACTGAGAAGAGCTAACTTGTAAGAAGGCTATATGGTAAATTAATAAATGGAAACTTTAACTCAAAATTTTTGTTTGCCTTGAAGTCTTTTTTGTGTGTTTTAGAACAGGCTTGTTATACATTTTGCTTTATTGGTGTTCATTCTGTTTGTCCCTTGGTATTATTTTGAGAATTAGACATTTAGGCAGCTAAGCGTGAGTATATTAGCTTCCTAGGGCTGCTGTAACAAATTACTGGAAGCTGGGCGGCTGAAAACAACAGGAACTTACTTGGTCCCAGTTCTGGAGGCTGGAGATCCTAATCACCGTGTCAGTGGGGCTGCTTTCCTTCTGTAGGCTCTGAGAGAAAATGGCCTCTCTTCTAGTCTCTGGTGCTTGTTCAGTCCTTGGTGTTCCTTGGGTTGTAGACACTGCACTCCAATCTCTCCTCTGCCTTCACGTGGTATTCTCTCCTGTGTGTCTTTTTGTGTCTCTTCTCCTCTTGCAGGGACACCATTTGTGTTGGGATCTGGGGACATTTTGGATCCACCCTACTCCAGTATAACCTCATCTTAACTAATTACATCTGCAAAGACCCTCTTTCCAAATAAGCTCACATTCTGAGAAGGACCTGTATCTGAGGAGGACATTATTCAACCCAGTACAGTGAGAAAGCCGAGATATTCACGAGACCATTTACATTGTCCTTGTCCATGGAAAGTTGCCCCGTGAATAGGACCCCTTTAGGAAACCCCTGAGTCCCTCACTCAGAAAGCATAGTCAGTTATTTCATTTTAAAATAATACCTACCACAATTTAGAATTTACTCAGTGAACCATAGTTTTATTTTACAGAGTGACCCAGTGAAGGGACTTTTCTGATACTGACTTTGATATCTTGTTCTTACAGGGTTTTTTAAAAAGATGATTGAGATACCAGAATAGGGCAATTTGAGTTGAAATCAGCCTGGGTTCAAATCTTGATTCTGCTGCTCATGCCTGCGTCCGTTGGAAAATCTGGACCTCAGTTTGACCTGTCCAGTGATCCCCTTGCATCTTTTCTCTCATTCCCATACATTACTTAAAAAACAATCTAGGAAACTGGATTCCACGGAACTGGAAAAAGAAAGCCTTCTTATTAGCTTATGAGATCAAGCCCAAAAGGTAGGAAGGGTGCTTTTAGAAGGTAGTGTGCTTTTGAACTATTACATCAAACCTTTAAAAAGAGTCTCCTTATAGTATAGAGATATAGAGCTTGTTTTCTATTCCAAAGCTGAAAGATTTTCATAATTTTTTTCTCTTTCTTGAAGAACCATAATTTTTTTTTACCCTTAATTAAAACATTGAGTAGACTAATTTGGAAAATATTGTGAAAAAGGGAAAAAGAATTACAAAATGCCCTTCCCTGTTCCCTGCCCCCATCCCGTAAGAGTGCAAAATAGCTATTAAGACAGTGTCCACATCTTAAGAGTATGATCAAACATCTCTTAGACACTTCTTTTGGCCTTTTGGGTACCATGAAGCTCATCTTTCCCTCACCCATCAAATTCTGTGTTCTGGTATCTCCTTCCCTCGCTCCCTCTCAGGTTCAAGAGATTTTCCTTCCTCAGCCTCCCCAGTAGCTGGGATTACAGGCATGAGCCACTGCGCCCAGCCACTGGTATGTTTCAACAAGTAGAAAATGTCAGGCTACTAGAACAGAGTTACACAGAACCTGTTAGGCACTAGAGGTTAGCCAGGAAAGAGCATCATCACTTTATCAAAGACCTCATTGCCAGGACTGATTATTTAATGTATGATTTGGCCTCATAATACTCAGCCAGTTCTCAGTGAAATGAGAAAAATGTATAGCTTTCTTCCATTTAGATATTTGTAACAGGTACTTATGCATTTGTGGCAAACTTTAGGTGGGGTCATAAGCTATTCCACATTTTTCAGAAGGCCACTAAAAACAACCACAGACTTCCTTTTGGAATATTAATTTCAGCATATTATTATTGTAGCCAAGCAGACTGTTTTGTTTTCAGTTAAAGCTTATAAAAAATAATTAAACCTAACACATGATAAATTTTGTTTTCATATACAAAAAACCCAGAGACAGATGGATTCCCTTCATTGCAGTTGGTGATATTTACTGAAAGAACTAACATAAATTTGATATTTTTCCTCTTGAAGAAAAAAATGGGCTGGTCACGGTGGCTCAAACCTGTAATCCCAGCACTTTGGGAAGCCAAGGCAAGAGGATCCCAGGAGTTGAAGACCATCCTGGGCAACATGGTGAAACCCTGTGTCTAAAAGAAATACACACAAAAAATTAGCTCAGCATGCTGGCACATGCTTGTAGTTCCAGCCACTCGGGAGGCTGAGGTGGGAGGATCACTTGGGCCCAGGAGGTCAAGGCTGCAGTGAGCCATAATTTCACCACTGCACCCCAGCCTGGGTGACAGAGTGAGACCCTGTCTCAAATTGGAAAAAAAAGAAAAGAAAGAAAAAATGATGTACTTCTAGTGTAGTACCTCTAGTAAGAGGATAAAAAGAGGATAGACCTAGGCCAGGCGCAGTGGCTCACGCCTGTAATCCCACCATTTTGGGAGGCTGAGGTGGGTCGATCATTTGAAGTTAGGCGTTACAGACCAGCCTGGCCAGCATGGTGAAACCCTGTCTGTACTAAAAATACAAAAATTAGCCAGGCGTAGTGGTGCATGCCTGTAATCCCAGCTACTTGGGAGGCCGAGGCAGGATAATCTCTTGAATCCAGGAGGCGGAGGTTGTGGTGAGCTAAGATGGAGCCACTGTACTCCAGCCTGGGCGACAGAGTGAGACTGTCTCAAAAACAAACAAAAAAAAGAGGATAGATCTAGACTGTTTCTCTTCTAGAGTCCAGGGGGGATTTGAATCCAATTGTGATCATCCTATTAAAAAAACAAGTCTCTGAGGCCAATTATGATCTTACCTGCCTGGAATCCACTGAGAAGCCATTGGCTTGATCTAGAATAACTGAGGCTATCTGATTGGCCCTGCTGGCTTCAACCATATGTGCTTTCTCTCCATTACAGCCAGAGGAAGAGCATTTGGCCTGTGATATCACCGGATCCAGTTCATCCACCGATGACACGGCTTCACTGGACCGACATTCTTCTCATGGCAGTGATGTGTCTCTCTCCCAGATTTTAAAGCCAAACAGGTCAAGAGATCGGCAAAGCCTTGATGGATTCTACAGCCATGGGATGGGAGCTGAGGGTCGAGAAAGTGAGAGTGAGCCTGCTGACCCAGGCGACGTGGAGGAGGAGGAGATGGACAGTATCACTGAAGTGCCTGCAAACTGCTCTGTCCTAAGGAGCTCCATGCGCTCTCTTTCTCCCTTCCGGAGGCACAGCTGGGGGCCTGGGAAAAATGCAGCCAGCGATGCAGAAATGAACCACCGGAGGTGAGATGGGAGGCGGTTTGTTTAGTGTCTCAGTGTCTGCTTGCTTTTGAGAAGCTTCTGATTTGTATTATTGTTGGTAAAAGAATTTAGGAGACCCCATAGTATAGAAGAAAGAATATAGGCTTTGGAATCAGGAAAATCTGTGTTCAGACCCCAGCTCCAAAATTTACTATGTAGATGACCTTGGGCAAGTCACCTGACCCCTCTAAGCTTTAATATTCTCATCTGTAAAATACCTTCATTATTATTTTTAATAATACAATGAAATGTGATTGTCATATAATGAGTGTTTAGTAAATGGGAATGTTTATTCTTACCACATTAATGAAACTTATGAATGAGAAAATATTGGAGGCAGTAGTTTCATGTCAACTTTGAATTAAGAAACAAACATGAAGTCTTACAGTCTTAACACATCAAAGTCTTTCAGAGTATTTTCTGAGAATTAAAACCATCTGTTTCTAATACAGAAAGTTTTGATAAAGTCTAAATTATCATTGTTTAACCCTCAAGAGGATATAAGACTCATTACATTCATTTTACATTCATTACATACCATTAAATTGTTGGGATTTTCCCATGTGGGAACTTGTATTAAGTGTGACCCAGTATCAGTCCTTCAATTTGGAAGCAGGCTATATGAAGGTATGTCGAATTTGACTTCTTTTTTTTTTCCTGAGATGGAGTCTCGCTCTGTCACCCAGGCTGGAGTGCAGCGGCGCAATCTCGGCTCCCTGCAAGCTCTGCCTCCCGGGTTCACTCCATTCTCCTGCCTCAGTCTCCCAAGTAGCTGGGACTACAGGCGCCCGCCACCACGCCTGGCTAATTTTTTTTGTATTTTTAGTAGAGACAGGGTTTCACTGTGTTAGCCAGGATGGTCTCGATCTCCTGACCTTGTGATCCACCCGCCTCGGCCTCCCAAAGTGCTGGGATCACAGGCGTGAGCCAGCGCGCCTGGCCTGAATTTGACTTCTGACTGCTGGCTGGCTAGACAAATGTAAGCAGATGGTTTTAGCTTTAAAGAATGAGTATGGTAGTGCCTACTATATTTACAAGAGTGTGCTTATTCCAAAGCTACTTTGCTAATAAGTAAAACAGATAAGGGATGAGGCTGACAGTTGTTTTAAAACAATTGATGTAATCTCATGAGCCCAGGAGTTTGAGACCAGCCTATGCAACATAGGAGACCCCATCTCTACAAAAAAGAAAACAGCCGCGCATGGTAGTACATGCCTGTGGTCCCAGCTACTCGAGAGGATGAGATGGGAGGATTGCTTCAGCCCAGAAGTTCGAGGCTGCAGTGAGCCATGATCATACCACTGCACTCCAGTCTGGGCAACAGTGAGACCCTGTCTCAAAATAATAATAATAATAGTAGTAATAATAATAATTGATGTAAACAGCTCAGCAATAGCAATTATTTGCTCAAATTTCTCAACCTCCTGATAATATTATGGCTGTGTAATCACATTCATTCACTTATTTATTCAGCCAACATATATTGAACACTCACTATGTGCCAGACTCTGCTCTAGGTTCTGGAGATAGGTAAACAAGACAAAGTCCCTGCCTGCATGGAGCTCACAGTAATACCTTCTTACACTTTCCTAATTTGCTAATCTTTTCAGACTCTCTTTATAACACATTTCTGATATAATTTTTCAGTCCTCTCCATGAGTCGAGTGGTATTATCCCCATGTTTGCAGATGAGAAGACTGGTGCAGGTAGTTTGCATCATTTATCCAAGGTCTCTGGTCTCTTAGTCAAATGCCGTTTCTATAATTCCATATTATTCTATGGTGGCATGTAGGATGCTAACCTTAAAAATAAGCAGCATGCTTTTTCTGCTAGCTTGTTTTTATATACGTTTGAGACCCTAGATTTTATAAAAAGTAATTTCCCAGTTTTGCTCGTGGTGTACTCTTTTTTTTTTTTTTTTTTTAAGCATTCAGAGCAACAGAAAATGTAAGAGCATGGTGAATGATCCCTACAGCCAGAGCTTGAAGCAAATGTAACTTTTTTGGCAGGACAGTCTTATCTTAAATGATAACAGCATCAAGGAATGAGGGTTTATTTTCTATACAATCCCCTTTTCTTTATAATCCACTATGGGTTCCTTTGTCACAACTTTGATTTTAGAGCTACATGTGACTGTGTCTGTCATGTAGCTCAGATGAGGAAATTGAAGCTCAGAATAAATGATTTGCCCAAAATTACATGGTGATCTCAGTTCAGTTCTAGACTGAACTGAGACTAGAACTCTACTTCTTTTCATCCTGCATAATGTCATGGGATCTCCTGTTTGAATTTACTGCTAGGGCTTACCTAGGACCACTGTCCTAATACCTCTGAAGATAATGGAATGAGAGTGAGGTTTTAATTAGTTTGGCTAATTGTTATGGTATTACCTGCATGTAGTATAACCTGAATTTTAAAGTGTTAAGAAAAACCCCTTTAAAGCTTTGAGTAGTAATTTTTTTCTGATTCTTTAATAATTTAATAAACTTTGTAACTTTTGCCATCTGATTAACTCCTTGGAGCAAGGGGAGGAGCAAAGTAGCCCTCCACAGAAACTGTCAGGCCCTTTTGGTCCTGATGTTTTTCTCATTCCACATTCCTTCATTCTCTTGCCTGTGCCATTTCTCTTTGAGCAGTGTCTCTCTCCCCAGTGTGGTGTCTGTATGTTTCATGCATTTGTATCCCATTTTGTTTCACCTGCAACACTGACCTCTTCACCATTCATTTTCAGTTCAATGCGAGTTCTTGGGGATGTTGTCAGGAGACCTCCCATTCATAGGAGAAGGTACAGAGTTCATTAACTTGATGGACTAACCATGTCACCTCTGAGCATATACTAACAAGCATCTCATTCTGCTTAATCCATGATTGGATCATCTACTTTTAAGTAATGTCCCATCTAATTCAGGCAAATAAAATATAGGTACTTATTAATTGCTAGTGTCCATTTTATATGAAATGGTTTCTTTAATTTGAAGTTTTATGCTATTTTATCTTTTTTAAAAATTATTTTTAATTTTTTTAAATCTTGTGCTTATTGTTGTTCAGATGACTGTGAGAATAGGGTCTCACCTAGCTTTCTCTAGGAGAGTTCGAAGAATTGTCTATGTCGTGCCTATTTAATGGACCCTGGGGAGTACTTTTTTTTTCTTTTCCACAAAAGAAAAACCAGGAATGTGTGTGTGCTTGTGCACAGGCCCTAAAGTATTGTCAACACATTGTTTAATAATGTAATGAAAGACTTTATTACTAGGCCACCTGGCATTTTCCATTCCATTGTGGATATAGTCATTTCTTAAAGCAAGTCAGAGGCATAAGTTCATTCCTTGGCCTTTGAATTCCTTAATTAGTATTTGTCAGGTAATATTTTGAAGCTAAAAATAAACGATTTATAAGCTGAGAAGTAATTTCTAGTCAGATTGCTAATTTGCTTCAAATTTTCCGTTGGATTTTCTTTAGAAGTCATTAGTGACCTTCCATTGTTTAGAAAAATATTTAGAAATCCAAAAATTAGGGTTATATTACTGTTAGTTTCTCAGGAGGCATTTGTAAAGAAGTATTTTTAACTATTAGCTGAACCTGTTTGTTGGCAAGTGGGCAAATAGTGATCTTTCCTACTTTGTCTTTTTCAAGTGGATGCTTTCTTTAATTCCAGATTTTAGGCAAGAAATTGAGCTGAAATTCAGATATTCTCATGAATTTCAGATAATCATGATTCCTATGAAATTGTTCTTCCAGAAAATAAGTTGTTAAATAAGTTTTAACCCCATCTCTACTAAATAAGTTTTTCAGTAGAAGGTTCTTTGGAGATACGTTTGTCTGGGTCTTTATTAAAGCTCTTCAATATGAGCTTATTAAAAACATGCACTTGATGACAAGGTGGGAGACGACAGATTGCTGGATGCAGTCTGAGTTAGTGTATACATGGAGTGTCATCAACAACTCCAGCCAGTTTCATCCCTAGTGAAACTTATTTTTGTAGGAAGAACGTAATGTATAATTTAAAATTTTATAAAATTGAAACATTACAACAGGTATTATAAGGCAGGAGGAGGGACATTTGTTGTTTTTTAATCTAGAACTTTACAAATCTCAAAGCCAAAGAACTACTAAATATTATCCCTACTAATTGAGGAATTGAGGAAATGACGATGCTTTCCAAAATACTCTTAATTATGAAAGGAGTTTTCTGTTACCAGAAAGGGCAGACGTTGTAGACCATCTGCAGCTTCCTTCCTGGTACCTTAGAAAAGCTGTTATATCTTGGCCGAGCACGGTGGCTCACGCCTGTAATCCCAGCACTTTGGGAGGCTGAGCCAGATGGATTGCGTGAGCCCGGGAATTTGAGACCTGCCTGGGAAACATGGTGAAACCTCATCTCTACTAAAAACACAAAAATTAGCTAGGTGTGGTGGCATGCACCTGTAATCCCAGCTACTCAGGAGGCTGAGGCAGGAGAATTGCTTGAACCTGGGAGGCAGAGGTTGCAGTGAGCTGAGATGGTGCCACTGCACTCCAGCCTGGGTGACAGAGTGAATCTAAGTCTCAAAAAAAAAAAAAAAAAAAAAAAAAAAGCTTTTATGTCTGTCTTCCTATCTCCCTATTGTTTTTCACTCTCTTCGTGTTAAATCTCCTCACAGTCTTCCACATCATTGTCATATCCTGGAAGTAAAGGAACATTTAAATCTGTAGAAGGAGATTATTTTTAAGAATGATGGTTTGGCAGTGTATGTTCAGTTACTGATTTGCCACATTCTGTTTCTAAAAAAGAAGTTGGATATTTAGGTAAAAATATGCCTATTTATTAACTGGCGATTTAAAATTTAAGTTAATAATGTCAAAGAATGGACTTCTGAGTCTTATCTGTGTTTGTAAAATATATATCTTCTCCTCACACAAGTAAATTATGTCAGTGTCATCCCACTTACCAGACCAGCGAAGTGTCTCCACTATATTTTTACTTTCTGCTTCTGCACTTGTAAGCTTTATACCACTAATTTAATCTGATTTAAAATGTTTTATACTATTTAGTTTTAAATGATATGGTAAAGATTTTTTAAAAGAGCCATAGGGGTAGCTCTTACATCCTCCCACCCATTTTCCTTGTCTCCTTTCTCCAGCCAAAAACCCCACTTGACAACAAAACAAAGTTATTAGATGTGTCCAGTATAGGTGTTTTTGGTGCCAGGCCTTCCCATCTGCAAGATTCTGGAGGGAGCCGAGTGGTTTTATTGAGCCGAGTGTTTTTATTGTCCACAAGCTCTGCTTTTATCTCTTCTCAGAAAACAAAAACACATCACCTAGAACTTTATGGCCCAGGTAGCAGGGTATTTTTTTAATGATAGCTTTTGTTAATAAAAATCCCAACATTTCCATGCAGTTTCCTTTATAGAACACACAATATTTTGAATTGATTATTGTTTTAGCTAGTGGTGTTTACTTAGCATTTCCAACCCCAGATTTTCTGTCCTTGCTACTTGATAATGGACACCGCTACTGGGATATTCAAGGAAGTAGATGATCAGATGGATTTTTTTTATCTTGTAGGAAAAATGGAAACAAACTTGAAATTAAAAAGATACATTTCTAACTCAGTGCCATAGAATTCCTTTTTTTTAAATTTTTATTATCAGCCAGGTGCGGTGGCTCAAGCCTATAATCCCAGCACTTTGGGAGGCTGAGGCGGGTGGATCACTTGAGGTCAGGAGTTTGAGACCAGCCTGACCAACATGGTGAAAGCCCATCTCTACTAAAAAAAATACAAAATTAGCTGGGTGTGGTGGTGCACACCTGTAATCCCAGCTACTCGGGAGGCTGAGGCAGGAGAATCGCTTGAACCTGGGAGACAGAGGTTGCGGTGAGCCAGGATCGCACCATTACTCTCTAGCCTGGGCAACAAGAGTGAAACTCCGTCTTGGGGGGTAGTTTTCATTATCATTAAAACATAAGCAAATATATAATCAGTGTTATATGCTTTATCTTTAACGTAACAGCCTAGTGAGTAGGGTTTGAAGATGGATGCCAGTGTTGACTAAGTATCTTATCATGCAGAATCTATTAATGTCTGGTTTGGTTGGATCCGTAATGGAAACACATGAAAAAAAAAAAAAAAAACCGGATGACTCCATGAGCCCACCAGAGCACAGTTTGTCACTGTCTCTTTTAAAAAGTCTAGGATTAGAGATACTATGGTAAGGGTGATGTGGGAGTATGCGATGTACTGAGAGATTGTACCCAGTGGTGGAGTTTGAAATACCTCTCATGTCTGAAGAGCAAGCCATAGGTAGTTGCCACAGTTCACTAGAAGGAATTTTTGGGTTTCAGGTTGAACTGGTGATACTGTAAAGAACCCACAGTCTTTTTCCACAATGCTGTCTAGACAAGAAGAAAATATTTTTAAGTTTCTATGATTTTTTATTATAGCCTTTTTAAAAATTGTCAGTGTTACATTCCTAAATTTTTTGTTGATCGCATAAATCCGTCTGTCTCTAACTATGCCCTTCGTTTTTAAACCTAATAACCCCATTCCTGTTTCCTCTTTTCTCCCTGCATTTCTGTTTCTGTCTTTGATGTCATCCCCAGTATGAGCTGGTGCCCCTCTGGTGTGCAGTACTCTGCTGGCCTGAGTGCTGACTTTAATTACAGAAGGTATGATATTGTTATGTGTCCCGCCACCAAATGGGGAACCATAAAATACGCCATCAGGGCTTTTGGCTTGGAGCTGGCTTCTGTGTGGCTGGGATGCATATGGGCAGCCTGCTTTGTCTGTGAGCACAGCATTTCATTGCCTTTGCTATGGGTGTCACTAACTCAGCTGAAGGGATGCAGCCTAAGAGTCGGGTGATGCATCCTGTATGTCTCAAATGGCCATAGATTTGATGTTTTCTGCACAGATTTATCTCTCTCTGTTTTGGTTTGTCTTGATTTTCAGATCCTAAAAATTCTTGGAACCCGAAGAAAACAATCAAAGAACCAAGGCAGCTAATAAGATGCACTGATTTCTATTATGCTTCTAAATCCACCATTCTGTGTAGATTCCAAATTCAGAGACTCCTCATCGTTTCATATTCTTCTCTCAACTGAACAGCCAGATTTAATTACTAAAACATTTTCAGAATTAAGTTTTGCAGTAAGCATAGATCTGGTTTTCTTAGGCTTTTCAAGTAATTTCTTCTTCACTTAGCCCCTCCTCTTATCCCTGGTATTGAAAGTGAGTTTTACAGGCCAGGCATGGTGGCTCACACCTGTAATCCCAGTACTTTGGGAGGCTGCGGTGGGCGGATCACCTGAGGTCAGGCATTGGAGACCAGCCTGAAAAACGTGGTGAAACCCCATCTCTACTAAAAATACAAAAATTGGCCAGACACGGTAGCAGGTGCCTGTAATCCCAGCTACCTGGGAGGCTAAGGCAGGAGAACCACTTGAATCCGGGAGATGGAGGTAGCAGTGAGCCAAGGTCGTGCCACTGCACTCCAGCCTGGGCAACAGAGGGAGGCTCTGTCTCAAAAAAAAAAAAAAATAGGAAAAGAAAGAAAATGAGGTTTACAGAGTCATTTACTTGTAGTTAGTCATGATTTCTATTATATTGAAGAAAAACATATCCATTGTTTAGTTTACCTACTAGAGAAAATAGAGTTATATGGCTTCAGTTCGTTAAGTTATTTACAAAACCAAAATAAATAAATAAATAATTTAAAAAAGCAAATACAAGTCCTGGACTGGTAGGTATGAACTTAATTGGAGCAATTTTCTGTACAGTTTTCCTTGAGTGGAGGTAACTAAGTAGCTTCAGTATACCTTCAGATTGAATTCCAGCTCATTGTTAGCGGAGAACATGGTCAGCTACAGCTATGTTTCGAGATCTTGGTTATTTTAAAGAAGTTTCCGCTGCAGTTGTAACAGATGTGAATTACTCTAGTTAGCAACCCAAGGAGGTTAAATCGCTAACCTGTCTCTGTAGCCTTCTGCTTACTGAAAATGCTTTTCATTCTGCAAACCACAGAATCTGTCTTGGAGGAATCCTCTTTAAAATGCCAAATCCTGACTGCCTTTGTTCCCTTTACCAATATCCAGGCAAAAAATTACAACTCTTTCTACTCTTAGACCAGGTTGCTTTTCAGCATTTGTTCATTAAGGTGTTATATGTGCCTGTTGCAACTAACAATTCTCGAGAAGTCTGTCAGCAGTTGTTTGGCCAGGTGTGCATAGATGGTAACACTCATGAGTAACACTTGGGTTTTCTTGGGTGAAAGCATACCTGTAAAATTATAAAGGTCAACTTGAATGTAAAATTATAAAGGTCCACTTAATGGACATAAGGGCAAGTTACCCAGTTTGCCTTCTGAAAGTTACTTAAGCTCGTATTTTCTCTGTGACATTTAATTACTTGGCATTAGTAGAGTTAGATTCACAAAGATTAATTAGATCAAGGAAAAAACACATATATAAAATATCAGATAACTATGGTCTGTCCATATAGTGTGTAGAAAAAAATCTGAGAAGTGATCTTAGGTGGTTCAACATTTGGATAAATTTAATGCGGTAAGAAAATCTAAGTGCAGTATTCTTTCTCAGTATTCCAAGATCTGTGGGGGAAAGGTAGGTAGTATTCTTTGTGCCATGCCCTTTTAGACAGTTTTGCTAGCTGACATAGAAATAATACACAAACAAGGGAGATATACCCAAAGGGATTTTGTGTCCTCCTTTGTTTTTGAGACCCAGAAATAGAATGAATTAACTTTTGTGCCCTATGTTCAGTTTCAGTCTAGAAGGCTTGACAGGAGGAGCTGGTGTCGGAAACAAGCCATCCTCATCTCTAGAAGTAAGCTCTGCAAATGCCGAAGAGCTCAGACACCCATTCAGTGGTGAGGAACGGGTTGACTCTTTGGTGTCACTTTCAGAAGAGGATCTGGAGTCAGACCAGAGAGAACATAGGATGTTTGATCAGCAGGTAAGTCTTAAATATGTCTAATTTGGAAAAAATATATTTCACAAAATATGAACATAGAAGGCAAGGCTTCTGGTAGTATAAGGCTAGTAGCTATGATTACTTACCCATTATATGATATACTTAATCTAGCACTAAACCAAGTGTTTAGCACCTAATTAAAAAGGGCCAGGCATGGTGGCTCATGCCTATAATCCCAGTGCTTTGGGAGGTTGAGGCAGGAGGATCAATTGAGCCCAGGAGTTCAAGACCAGCCTGGGCAACATAGCAAGACCCCCCATCTCTACAAAAAATTTAAAAATTAGCTGGACATGGTGGTTTGTGCTTGTAGTTCCAGCTACTCGGGAGGCTGAGGTAGGAGGATTACTTGAGACCAGGAGTTTAAGGCTGCATTGAGTTGTGATTGCACCACTGCACTCCAGCCTGGGTGACAGAGCAAGACTCTGTCTCCAAAAAGAAAAAAGAAAAAATAAAGACTACGTTAATCTGCATAGATTTAAATATTCCATCAAGGCACACTTTTTAAAATTAGGAAAGTATCCAGGATATTAAATTGAGTTTTTCCTTCTTATCTGAGACCATCTTTTACCCTCTCAATAGTAAACTGAATCTTGAAATACGCTACATATCGTTATTAATTTTCCCAATTCTCTAAAACATATCCCAAGTTTCTCCTTTGTAGGAAAAAAATTAAAAACAAAACTTTCTTACTACACCTTCCAGGAAATGTCAGTTGATTCTCTCTCCTTCCCATCCCTACCAGAATTCTTTTTTTAAAAAATTATTATTTTTACACTTTAAGTTCTAGGGTACATGTGCACAACGTGCAGGTTTGTTACATAGGTATACATGTGCCGTGTTGGTTTGCTGCACCCATTAACTCGTCATTTACATTAGGTATTTCTCCTAATGCTATCCCTCCCCCAGCCCCCTACCACACAACAGGCCCCGGTGTGTGATGTTCCCCGCCCCGTGTCCAAGTGTTCTCATTGTTCAGTTCCCACCTATGAGTGAGAACATGCGGTGTTTGGTTTTCTGTCCTTAGCGATAGTTTACTCAGAATGATGGTTTCCAGCTTCATCCATCTCCCTGCAAAGGACATGAACTCATCCTTTTTTATGGCTACATAGTATTCCATGGTGTATATGTGCCACATTTTCTTAATCCAGTCTATCATGGACATTTGGGTTGGTTCCAAGTCTTTGCTATTGTTAACAATGCCATAATAAACATACATGTGCATGTGTCTTTATAGTAGCTTGATTTATAATCCTTTGGGTATATACCCAGTAATGGGATCGTTGGGTCAAATGGTATTTCTAGTTCTAGATCCTTGAGGAATCGCCACACTGTCTTCCACAATGGTTGAACTAGTTCACAGTCCCGCCAACAGTGTAAAAGCGTTCCTATCTCTCCATATCCTCTCCAGCATCTGTTGTTTGCTGACTTTTTAATGATCACCATTCTAACTGGTGTGAGATGGTATCTCATTGTGGTTTTGATTTGCATTTCTCTGATGGCCAGTGATGATGAGCATTTTTTCATGTGTCTGTTGGCTGCATAAATGTCTTCTTTTGAGAAGTGTCTGTTCATATCCTTTACCCACTTTTTGATGGAGTTTTTTTTTTCTTGTAAATTTTTTTAAGTTCTTTGTAGATTCTGGATATTAGCCCTTTGTCAGAGGGGTAGATTGCAAAAATTTTCTGCCTTCTGTAGGTCGCCTGTTCACTCTGATGCCTACCAGAATTCTTAAGAGAGCATCTATGCTCCCTGCCTTCTCTTTTTAAAATTTTATTTATTTATTTACTTATTTAGAGACAGGGTCTCACTCTGTCGCCCATACTGGAGTGCAGTGGTGCCATCACAGGTCACTGCAGCTTCAACTTCCCCAGTTCAAGTGATCCTTCTGCCTCAGTCTCCCAAAGTGCTGGCATTACAGGTGTGAGCCACTGTGCCTGGCCTTTGCCTTCTCTTTATCACCATCTAATCATCTCTTAATTTCTGCTGCTACCAGTCTCTTGAAACTCCTGTCTTGAAGGTCATGGATTTCCATGTCAGCCAAATCAAAGTGACTTCTTAGTTCTCATCTTCTGGATGTCCTCATTATCACTTACCACTTTTGACAATCCCTTGGGGAGCTTTTGAGTTGAGAATTCAAATTATTTGCTTTTATATCATTGTACCTCACTGCAAGTCTTTTCTCTTCCTCTTGGGTCAGAAGACTGATTAATTTACGAAAGCATTCTGGGATGCATCTTATTTCCTCCAAATGAAACACTTACAATTTAAAAAAAAACTGTTTTTGAATAGATGACTGGAGTTTGAGGCAAGAATCTAATGATACATTTCTAATTAAACAAAAACATTGACAACCTCTTCCTTGATTTGCTGAGTAGGACTTTGTGTAGAAGTTTAAATTTTTATTGCATCCTACTATGAAGCACTAACATGACCAAATATAAACTTGACACTGAAGGATTATCTTAGTAATTATTGTAACACTTATGCTTGTGTGAGACCAGACAAATAAAGAGATTTAGGCATAATGAAAATCAGTTGAAGAGTGAATTTTGCCCCTTTTAAAAATTTTTCTACTTGTTCTGATACTTCAGAAGGAGTTAGAAAAAATAAGAATATGAAGAATATGCTTGTTGAAGCAAGTGATTTAGATTTACTCAGCCTAATGGTAACAGAGAAAGGAAGAAAAAAATAGGAACAATTCTTGGATGGCTACTGAGCACAGCTTTGCTAAGGGTAAATAAACAGTGAAAAAATCTTTAAAATAAATTGCATTTCAAATTTATAGAATCCTTTGGAAATCATTTACAAGATGAGGTAAAATACCAAAATTGTGGATTTGTAAACAGAATCATAGGCCAAGACTGACATATCCCTTCAGATTTAGCTCCAGCTCATTTAAATGACTTGCCTAAGGCCGTGTAAGTGGCTATTAGCTGAACAGTATTAAACTCAAGAGTTCCTGGCTATTAATTTCTCTGCTTTTTTCCAGGTTTTTGGAGTAGGTGAGTTTTCAAGGAGGAAATAAGAATGATTTAATTTTCTTAATATTATTTATGTGATACCTTTTCTAAGATGGATATTTCCGGGAATTTGACAGATAACCCTGCATTTTAGTAAGACGTTACTACTACTGATGTGTTTCTAAAATGGACTGTCTTTCTGAAGTGGACTTTCTGATTCAGTCTTTCTAGATAAAGTTGTTGTTTTAGTGCCTTGCTATGCTTAGCCTTCCTGGAATCTCTACTTACCCATAGTTTTTATCTTGTATGGAACCTCAGAGTAGGCATTTGAGCTGCTTGTTTCACTCTGATCTAGACGAGTTGCCTGTAGCCAACTTCCTGTTAAAAGTCTCTGCCTTTCACTGAGGTCATTTTTTAGACCTCACAGTTGTATTTGAAACATAGCAACTGTTTGCCTCAGCTGCCATGGTTACACATGAAACAAGCTCTAAATAATCAGAAGTCTGGCCTAAGTGAGTCAAGTTCATGCTAGTAACGGATTTTTCACTGCTTCCCTTTCAATATGTGAGTCATAAGGAGGCAGATTTCATTCTGTGAAGGGAAAGGATTAATGATAAAGTCAGTTAACAATTGGAATGGGCTCTTATCACCAGAAGTGTGCTAGTGGACACTAGATGACTGTCTTTCAGGGATGTTGTACCAGGAACTTCTGCAGGTGGTTGGATTACATGGTCTCAAAGCTGCTGTGAATTTACTGAGAGAGTTAAATTATCAAATTTCAGTTACCTTTACGTTCATGTAGAATCACTATCATCTTAGAAGAGGATAGGGAAGAGATTTAGGCTTCTTTCCAGATACACTGTTGTTTTGTTTGTGATCTTAAGACACTTTACTTGAATCTCAATTTCCAATTATTTAAAATCAGAGGCCAGGCCTGGTGGTTCACACCTATAATCCCAGCACTTTGGGAGGCTGAGATGGGTGGATCATTTGAGCCCAGGGATTTAAGACCAGCCTGGCCAACATGGTGAAACCCTGTCTCTACCAAAAATACAAAAAATTAGCTGGGCGTGGTGGTGCACCCCTGTAATCCCAGCTACTCAGGAGGCTGAGGCGGGAGAATCGCTTGAACCTGGGAGGCAGAGGTTGCAATGAGCCGAGATCATGCCACTGCACTCCAGCCTGGGCGACACAGTGAGACTCTGTCTCAAAAATAAAAATAGGCTGGGTGCGGTGACTCACGCCTGTAATCCCAACACTTTGGGAGGCCGAGGCAGGCGGATCACAAGGTCAGGAGTTCGAGACCTGCCTGACCAACATGGTGATACCCCATCTCTACTAAAAATACAAAATTTAGCTGCGCGTGGTGGCGCGCACCTGTAATCCCAGCTACTCAGGAGTCTGAGGCAGGAGAATTGTTGGAACCTGGAGGCAGAGGTTGCAGTAAGTAAACCAAGATTATGCCTCTGCACATCAGCTGGGTGACAGAGTGAGACTCTGTCTAAAAAAAAATAATAATAAATAAAGTAAAATCAGAATACTATTACTGATATTCTACTATATCTGTATGAAGAAATATTTAGATTTTCAAAGAACAAGTATTGTATGTAGTTTGATATTTCCAGTGAAATTATTTTTAAGTGATTATGCATCCAGCAGATATTTATTAAGTACTTACTAAGTTTGAAACATTGTTAGATGCTATGAGGGATACAGAACCACTGTAAAGAATGGATACTCTAATGATCCCCATTTTACAGATGAGAAAACTAAGCCTCAGAAAAGCTAAGTAACTTCTCTGAAACTGAGCAGCTGTTAAGTAGCAGGAGCAGACTTTAACCTAAGTCTGTCTGACCACAAGGCCTGTGCTCTCACCCGCTTCTTCACTGCCTTATTTTACTATGTGGGTCTAATTATAAGGTTTTATGCTTATCTAGAAATATGAGAGTATATGCTTACAACGTGTTCTTCACTTTTTTACTTCACAGATATGTCACAGATCTAAGCAGCAGGGATTTAATTACTGTACATCAGCCATTTCCTCTCCATTGACAAAATCCATCTCATTAATGACAATCAGCCATCCTGGATTGGACAGTGAGTATACTACTTTTTAAAAAAATTAAATATATTAAATCTTAACCACTCTTCCTATTATTTTTCTCACTTTAAGGCCCCATAACATTACCTGCCAAAATTTGCTTACTACTTCTTTGAGTGAATGGCTCAGCACTTAAACAGAAAAGGTGGCATAGAGTTTATCTTGAGATCTTCTTCCTTTTACCTAAAAATATCCCTAATACATTAAGTTTATTGTATTTGTGGGCATGAATCTGACACACTTTTTAAAATTTTTTTATTTTGAAATAATTTTAGACTTGAAAAATAGTTACAAATAATATTCACTGGGGAAAAAATTGCAAAAATAGTACAAAGTATTCCCATGTATTCTTCACGTCCAGTCCTCAAATGTTAGAATACTTGTTTCGCCAGCCTCTCTCCCTCTCTTTATCACTCCCCTAAAGATTTTTTCTGAAACACTTGAGAGAATAAGTTATATCCATAACTCTCCTTTACCTCTAATTTAGTGTATATTTCCTAAAAACAAAGATATTGTCTTATATTACCATAGTATATGGGTACCATATACTGGCCTTCTCTGGCTACTGAGTGCTAGCATTAGTATATAAGAGTACCTTATACTCTTATATACTGTGGTAGTACTGTATTACAGTAGTCTAATTATCCAAATCAGGAAATTAATATCGATAAAATTGTGTTATCTAGTATGTACACCTTATTCAGATTTCAAATTTTCTCACTTATTTCTGGGTCCAAGATTCAATCTAAGAATATACATTGAATTAAGTTGTCATATCTCTTTAGTCCACTTTAATCTAAAAAGTTCCTCAGTTGATCTCTGTCTTCCATAAACTTGTCAGTGGAGAAACCTCGCACAGTAACTGACCTGAGCTTTTCAACAATGTCAAGCTCAAGAAGGACAAAGCAAGACTGAGACAGAGATTTAGTTCAGTGAGGGCCAGTAGGATTGCATCTGAAAGGGGTTAGTGGACCTGTATGCGGATTCAGATCAACTGGTGTTGGAAGTTATGTAGAGATGTCATGGCATCCATAAGCGCAGGGCCTTGTGATGCTCAAAAACATACTTGGATTGGATCAGTGTTGTTTGTCACAAAAAAGGCAACTTGTTCTTTGAGAAGCCTCATTTTTTATTTTTTAAATGTTGATTTTTTTATGAGTAGTTGCTGTGTGGGATCTGGATATAAAGATTAAATTCTCATCAGAGAGGGAGTGAGTGATACATTATGTTCTTTGCTGAAAGACCATGTGTCTCGGAGGCTGAAGCAAAGGAAATAAACACACTCTCCTGGTGTTTATGGGGTTTCCTCATTGTTCCCTGATATAATTCAGTTTAAGAGTTGGTGACAGAAGCAGATGCCCTATATTCATGGGATGTTCCATCTCACTTCATGACTTACTGGAATCCTAATTTTTAAAATTTTCACAGTGGAATTAAGACATAATGGATGACTCTAGCCAGACATGCTGACACATGCCTGTAGTCCAGCTGCTTCAGAGGCTGAGGCAAGAGGATCATGAGCCCAGGAGGTCAAGGCTGCAGTGAGCTGTGATGGCACCACTGCATCCCAGCCTGGGTGATAGAGTGAGACACTGCCTCAAAAAAAAAAAAAAAAAAAAAAAAAGAGAGAGAGAGAAAGACATAATGGGTGATTCTGTTAACTTTTTTCTTGTTTTCATGTGATTAATATTTCAAATACAAATCTAGCGTATTTGACAAAAGGTGTCTAACGGAGACTTATTTTCAAAGATATGTCCCCCAGAACTGTGACAGAAATAGCTTTTCCTGTTTTTGCTTGTTTGGATTTTTTTTTTTTTTTAATTTGGCTTTGAGTTAGATGTTTGGCTTGTATAGAATGGAAAGTACAATTGAATAGTTTGCAGTGAATTTGATAAGCCAGAATGCTAGCACTCAGTAGCCAGAGAAGGCCAGGAAGGCACTCTAAGTGAGACATTTCAGCTCAGCGTCCCCTCCTTCCGTGACCAGCAAGTGTCGTGACATAGTGGATATTGTACTTCTACAGCAACAGATAACTAGTACCAACAGAATGTGTCCCATAGAGAGACCTTTTTCCTATATTTTGTGACATGCTTTCTTTCCTTGTGGATGAAACACTTCATTATTTTTCCTTCACAAAACACGGTGCTTTTTGACTGTGTTTTCAGTTGCTATCCAAACACTATAAATAATACAGCTAACTCCCCAAAGCGCTATTCTAGAGGTTCTGACACATAGAGCTTTTCTTCCCGTTGCTGAGAATTTTTCTGCTCAACTCACCTAGGGAACCTGATTGCAGTAGTAGACTGCTGTCAAAAGTGGAGCTTCAAGCAAGAGTTTATTCCTTTCATCCAAATGTAATACCCTCATTCTGATTTGTAGTGTACGTTTCATGCAGGCTGGAATGATAGCTAGCCCCACGTACCTTCCTAATAGCATATGCTGCAACAGAAGGACCCATCAACCTTAATGTCACTATTTCTCCTTAGTTCCTCCTATATACAATTAAAATAGTTTCCCACCTGTATTTGTTATTCTACACTAGAAACATAATACATCATTTTGGAAATGTTAAAATTCTGACTAAAGAGAAGACTAAAACTTGTGTTAAAGTGTGTGTGGTATGCCTTAAGCATCGGGATAACTGATACTTCATAATTTGCTCCAGGCTCAAGTGTTCAATTCCAAGTCACTTAAATACTCAGCATGATTCATCTATGGTCATAGTCTCCCTAACTGAAATAGTGTCATAAATAAAATCCTCAGTGATTTTTAAAGCCTAAAATGTTTGGTACACTCAAAATATTTTAACTGATATTTTAAGCACACTTAGTAGCTGTATTACTTTGAGCTTGTTACTGAAACTCTCTGCATCAATTCAACTGTTAAATGGGGATGATAATGTGATGTGGCTTAAATCTGACTTCATTTGAAGTCCATAGCATATTTTCTGTCATATAATGAGCACATGCTGTCATTGTGGAGTGTGATTGTTCACAATAACCAGAACAGTGCCAGGGTCCATTTTTCTCTGCCCAGAGCTTAAGCAAGGTTAAACATTGCTCACCATTGCTAGGACATTGTCCCTTGTTGTCTTGCACTTGGCTGTTTATTATGAGTGTGCTTGTTTAGGAACAGAATGTTTTCTAAACTCATCCTAATCTCACTGCTTTCCAGCTTTTACCTGTGCTCTTTTTCCTTCTAAAGAAATTATTAGTTTCCTCAACCACAGTTTATCACAGCTGTCAGTAAAACTTGAGCATTTCTGGAAATGTATTTCCACTGAGCTGTTGTCCAGAATGTCTTTTGTTGGGTCATTTGCTAGATTAGAAAAACAGACAAACTTGTAGCATTATTTCTAAGCTGGGATCTGTTTTTTAAAAAATCTACTGATGTAAAGGAAAATACTGAATAGAGAGGGTGACTAAAATATTTCTGTATCACTTTCTGGGGTGGAGAGTAGGCAAGCAGTAGCTTCTTTAGGAACCACAGAGGACGGGAAAAGCTGCAGTGTCTCCTGTCTTGGACTTCCTGTCTTGATTCGAAGGGTGGGATATGATGAGCGTGACTTGCCGGCAATTTTTTAGGGGGTCGCAGTAGCACAGGTGCTGGCTGTGTCATGAGGCTTGGTGCCTGGGAGGACTGCCCTGAGAGAAACTTCTCCATGGAATGTGTTCACAGCATTTCTCCTCCTTGCATCAGAGAAAGATTGTGTGGAGCCTTTTTCTCCCACTGTGCTGGGAAACATAGATGGTTTCTTGATAGAACTTAAAAATAAATTTTATTTTCACATGTATAGAATTCAGTTATTACAGATGATCCCTTTCTTTCTTTCTTTTTTTTTTTTTTTTTTTTTTTTTTGGGGAGACAGAACAGAATCTTGCTCTGTTGTTGCCCAGGCTGGAGTGCAGTGGCACGATCTTGGCTCACTGCAAGCTCTGCCTCCCGGGTTCATGCCATTCTCCTGCCTCAACCTCCCGAGTAGCTGGGACTACAGGTGCCCGCCACCACACCCGGCTAATTTTTTTTTTGCATGTTTTTAGTAGAGATGGGGTTTTACCATGTTAGCCAGAATGGTCTCGATCTCCTGACCTCATGATCTGCCCACCTCGGCCTCCCAAAGTGCTGGGATTACAGGCGTGAGCCACCGTGCCCGACCCAGATGATCCCTTTCTATGGCTGTATTTTTAACCTTTTCATTGCTCCCACCCAGAAGATGCTTCAAATAATAGAGAATCTGCTTGATTGCATCCCTGGAAACACATTAGTGGTGATAATGTTGAAAGGGGAATTGGACCCGTTAGACGTTTTAACTTCATATGCTTCTTAATGAGATTTCATTTTCCCCTTCATTTTGCATGGTTTGTTACAGGTTGAGCATCCCTAATTTGAAAGTCTGAAATTTCTCAAAATCTGAAACGTTCGAGCACCAACATGATGCCACAAGTGGAAAATTCCACATATAAGGCCTTAACAAAATTATGTAACATATTATATAAAATTACCTTAGAGCTATGTGTATAAGCTGTATATGAAACAAATGAATTTCATGTTCAGATGTGGTTCCCTTCCCCAAGATGTCTCATCATATATATGCAAATATTCCAAAATTCAAAATCTGAAATACTTCTGACCCCAAGCATTTCAGAAGGAATACTCTGTGTGTATCACAAAGAAGGGCACTTTCCCTTGGGGTTGTTTTTACACCTTTGCTTATGGCATGTGAGTTTGCCAAGTTTCTTAAGCATGTTGTGATGGGAGTAGTAGCTTGTAGTTGTATGGCATGCATTAGACTATGACAGCTAAGGCCATCTTGAGAGCTGAACTGTGGCAGTTACATATCTGTACCAGATCTTTAAAAAGGTAAAGGATCTGTGTGACCAAAGATCAAGGTGGGCCTCTGGAAAGTTAGGCATCAGTGCTATTGAGGATATTTTATCTCTGTTTTCTGGATTTCTTCTCTAACTATGATGGGAATTTACTGAAATATGTATGTGTGTGTGTGTGTGTATATATATATGAATATATGTGAATATATATATATATTCTTAGCACAGTTCTGTTTGGAAAAGATAACATTGACAAATACATCAGAACAAAAATGTAATCAGACTTCTTTTTGACATTTTTATTAAATTGTAAGACTGGAAAACATGCATGTTCATTAAATGCATATATAAATATAAACTTTAATTCAATTACCTTGTAAAATTGAATTGCTCTGTTACCAGAACATTTCCTTTATATCATATATATGTTGGAAATTTCCATATGTCAGGGATACTCTAGACACTCATCACGTAAGATTTTTCCTTATGATCCATGATTTTGTGACACATGAAGGAGATGTTCTTAGATTCTGAGTAATAGGGGCAGCTTATTTTCATTTTCTAAATCTGTTTGACATTTGGAGGCACATCAGAACACACATTACAGTAGTATCTTACTTTTGCACAAGACTCTGCCTGAGAAACTAGTGTGTATTTGTACCAACATTTCTTTGATCTGTTACTTGGAGTAGCTGCAACAGCAAATAGTGATGTCACTTAGCATTTATCTGGGGTATGGAGTGGCTTTCATAATAGGTAGGTACAGGGCTTTTTCTCTCATTTCATTTAGGACATTGAGATTCCAGAAAGTCTGATAAAGGGAAGTTCATTTATTAATGTGTCTATCCAGTAAATATTTGAGTACCTACTCTTTTCCGTACACCAGGCTAGACCATGGTAGGAGGGGGGTGAACTCACAGGTAGGGTTCCTTTCCTCACCACATTTACAGATGAGAGCAAGTGAATCTAATAGAAAATGGTAAATGCAGCAACTTAAACATCTGATGTTATAGGACTGACAGACCTAAGGGGTCAGAAGGCTGACTAAGGAAAAGTAATATTAAAGTTTGGACCAGAAGGAAACTGGGAATTAGCTGGGTGAATTAGTATGTGGAAAGCAAGACTGAGGAATTTGGGCCTCTTGCCTGAGGGAATTGGAATCATTTACATTGATTAAGTTGGTCGAATAATGATTAGAACACTTCAGGCTGACCATAGTGAGAATGTATTGGGAGGAGAGATTGGATCAGTAGAAGGCTTTTTTTTTTTGAGAAGGAGTCTCACTCCATCGCCCGGGCTGGAATGTAGTGGCGCTATCTCGGCTCACTGCAACCTCTGCCTCCCGGGTTCAAGCACTTCTCCTGCCTCAGCCTCCTGAGTAGCTGGGATTACAGGTGCCCACCACTATGCCCAGCTAATTTTTTGTATTTTTAGTGGAGACGGGGTTTCACCGTGTTGGCCAGGCTAGTCTCAAACTCCTGACCTCATGATTTGCCCACCTCGGCCTCCCAAAGTGCTGGGATTACAGGCGTGAGCCACCACGCCCAGCCAGTAGAAGGCTTTTGCAGGATTCAAGTTACAGTAGTAGACAATGTCCTAAACCAAGGCAGAGAGCAGTGGCAATAGGGGAGGAATAGAGGTTGAGCTGGAAGACAAAGTGAAGAAGCCTGAGTGAAGTGTGATATAAGGATTCAGGAATGGTGCCCAGGTTTCCATTTTGATTAATGAGTTAGATGTTGGTACCACTCACTAAATGAAGGAACACAGGAGGAGGAACAGGTCTGCAGGAAAAGATAAGTTCACTTACCTGCTTTTGGAGCTTTAGCTGCCTGTGGAACATCCACCCACAGGTGAGCAGGGAGAGGAATGAGCCTAGATCTAAACAGAGATCCGGCTTCCAGATTAGAAAGATGTGAGTCACCAGTGTGTTGTATGCAGATCGTTGTTAAGAGGTGGAGTGAATTAGGAGATTTGGGGTGAGGGAGAAGAGAGCCAGATATAAAATCCTGAGGAACATCACTACTAGATGTTTTTAGTATACTTTTAAGGAAGAGAACCCCAGGTATGAATTGTGATCATTCTTATTTTCATAATCTAACAGGTATGTATTTATTAGCCAAATTTTTTAGAAACTGCATTAGAATTCTGTATATTCAGAAATGGAGATGAGAATGTAAACAAATTATTACATCATTCACCTAGACAGCATTTCCCGGAACCGCATAGGCCATTGACATTATGCTGTTTCCCCATGTGCTGAAGGCCCTGGCATAATCCGAGCATGCTCTAATGTCTTCTGTGAACCTCCTTCTCAGCTCAGCAGCAGATGCGGCCAGCAAGGCGGATCTCCATCAGCATCTCTCCGCTCCTCCTTAAGTCTAAAACTCTCTTTTCTCTTGGCTCTTCTTATTCGAGTGATGAGGAGGAGGAGTTGCATAGTAAGTAAGCAACTTTGGTGTCCAGTGACTGTTCTTGAAGGTCTGACCAGCTCAGAAAATGCTGTAGGCTTGGTACTAAGAAATTGTATGGGGGCTTTTAGCCTCTTGCATGCCATCCTTTGTAAGTCATTTGTCTTTATGCTTGCCTTTGAGAATTGGTTTGGATAGAACATTTTTTTGTCTTCTGTATAGTACTAACGCTGAGCTACTGGCCTCCTGATTCCAGGGCACAAGATAATCTTTCTAGCACACAGATACCCTCAAAGGTGTAGGGGGTGTGTTCCCATCCCATTGTGTACTCTTTCTAATAATACTGTATGCTAATTTCACAAAACTTTTTATTTGACAATGTAAATTTTATTTTCCTTGTTGTGTTGTTCTGTCTCATGGGACAGATATCTAGATGTTCATCTGTGGTGTTTAAAAGCTATTGTTACACTTTTTTTCTTCTCCTTTTCAGACCATTTCTTTAAAAATACCTTTCCTTTAAGATTAGACCCCATGAATTAGAGGGAGGGAGTTATATACGTTTTGTGAGTGTGTGTTGTGTTTTTTTTTTTTTTTTGAGATGGAGATGGAGTCTCACTCTGTCGCCCAGGCTGGAGTGCAGTGGCGCGATCTTGCCTCCCAGGTTCACGCCATTCTTCTGCCTCAGCCTCCCGGGTAGCCTCCTGGGTAGCTGGGACTACAGGCGTCCGCCACCACGCCCAGCTAATTTTTTTTGTATTTTTAGTAGAGACGGGGTTTCACCATGTTATCCAGCATGATCTCGATCTCTTGACCTCATGATCCGCCTGCCTCGGCCTCCCAAAGTACTGGGATTACAGGCATGAGCCACAGCGCCCAGCCGGAGTTATATACGTATTTATCTCCTACTTTCTCTCTCCTTTTGAACTTTTATTTTTACTTCTTTGGATAAGCTGTAGGCTTCAGATGAATACATTCTTACTTGATAATGCCTTGTATAAAAACTTTACAAGGTATCAATTTTAGTAAACTTGGAAAAGAAAGAAATTCCCCCTTCATGAAAATTACAGTCTTCAATTGTGCAAGATTTCTAGAATATTCCAGGATTGCTTTTAATGGAGAAACCACTTATAATAGAAAGTTAAATAAAATTGTTTTTATATAACTAGTATTATGAGTCTGAGACAATTACCATACCCATATGATTAGGCACCCTAATTCCCTACCACTTGCTGATTCTAAGTTTCAGCAATATTAAGTGTTTCTCAAGCTGGCATTTTCACACTATTCTTAAAGGGAAGTGCCTTATGCACAATAAGACAGTTTAGTTAATTTGGTTTTAAATGGTGGCCTTATTAAGGATTTGGTATATTTTTCACTAATAAAAGATGTTTGAAAAATAGACACAGAATAAGATGATCCCAGTTGTAATAGAAGGAAGGTTGTGAAAATCCACTCTAACTTTGGGTATTCAGAAATTTTCAAAGCTGTTTCATTTCAGAGTATTTGTAATAGGCTGGGTGCAGTGGCTCACACCTCTAATCCCAGCACTTTGGGAGGCCGAGGCGGGCGGATCACTTGAGGTCAGGAGTTTGAGACCAGCCTGGCCAACATGACGAAACCATGTCTCTACTAAAACAAACAAACAAACAAATTAGCTGGGCATAGTGATGGGCACCTGTAGTCGCAGTTACTTGGGAGGCTGAGGCAGGAGAATCACTTGAACCTGGGAGGCAGATGTTGCAGTGAGCCGAGATCATGCCACTACACTCTAGCCTGAGTGACAGAGTGAGATCACTTCATCTCAAAAACAAAATTAAAAAAAAAAAATCAAAGTATTTGTAATATACCGGGAAGTAGCCAGGTCAGCATGGCAAATAAACCAAGGTCCCAGTCAGGCACAGTGGCTCATGCCTGTAATCCCAGCACTTTTGGGAGACTGAGGTGGGCGGATCACGAGGTCGGGAGTTCAAGACCAGTCTGGCCAACATAGTGAAACCCCATCTCTACCAAAAATACAAAAAAATTAGCCGGGTGTGGTTGCGGGCTCCTGTAATCCCAGCTATTCAGGAGGCTGAGGTAGGAGAATTGCTTGAACCCAGGAGGCGGAGGTTGCAGTGGCCAAGATCATGCCATTGCACTCCAGCCCAGGCGACAGTGTGAGACTCCATCTCAAAAAAAAAACAACAACAAAAAACCAAGGTCCTGCTAATACAGAATTATGATCCTATAACAGCACTGGTCATTCAGTTAATCCGACACAATGGAACCCTAAAAATACGGAAGCTTGCAGAAACTTTTTGAATCAAGTATCTTCTCAAAATGTGTTCCTTAAATTCAAAACTACTAGTAAGAATTATGTGTGGGCAGGGAGAACCAAAAGAAGGGAGGGGTTGGTTCATGGCCAAATATTAGTAAATTTAGGAAACTCTGGGTTAAGCAGGTTTAAAATGCTAACGTTGTGTTACGTTGTGGATTTTCAAGGCAGTGTTCAATATACTGTTTCTCCCAAATGTATTAACTAGAAAACCACAATATGTGCAGCACTGTATACAACATTTCATGAAACTGGTGTTCCACGGAACACACTCTGAAAAATATCAACTGTGTCCATCCAGTAGTTCCACCCTGAAGTTCCTGGCTGTAGTATAAATCTGCAGGTTATTTCATGCCTTGAAAGATAATCTAGTTGAAATATATTATTTACCCACAATAATACTTTGCAGGCTAACTTTAATGACAAGTTTCGTTTCGTTTCATTTATTTTGTCCATAATTTTGTCATGGAAGTAGCATTGGTTGTTTTCTACCCTTAGGTGCTCTGAAAACTTGATGATACTTTAGGAATTTCAGAGGCATTGGTGGATTAATTACTGTGTTCAGAACCACATCTAAAAGGTCATCATAACTTAACTAAAATTTTTAGCAGTGGAAAAGTTGAAAATATTATAGGAGTCATAGATTCTCCTAGTACTCAATCACATATGTGTTCAGTCTTTAATTTATTCCACACATATCTGCTGGAAGCTTATGATTGGCCCTGCTTTGTGTTGGTTGGTATTTTTCTGCATTATGAATTTTATTTTTATTTAGTTCATATTACTAGGGTGGTAACTTACTAGGTAATTGCTTAAATGTATAGTAGAATCCAGGCAAGCTTAGAAAATTTAATGCTGCTCCTATCACTGAAGTTTCCTTGGGCAGAAAAGGTTTTAAAACCACTGATTTAAACTATCCTCTTGATTTTTTTTTTAAGTACACTAATGCATCATAAGATTAAAATGCTGATATTTTACACCTAGATTATGCAGAACCTGGGGATGGATCCCAGATATTCTTATGCTGCTAATCTTTCCCTCTTACCTGGCTGTTGTTACCATGTGTTGTAAGTGAAATGAACAGAAGAAGAACCCTAAACTGGGAAAAAGGAAAAAAATACGGAAGGCAATCTTTTGAAGACTTAGAATTTGTTTTAAGGTTTCTTATGTATTATTCCTACCTGTTGGCAATTTAAATTTAGCCAGGTGCAATGGCTCACCCCTGTAATCCCAGCACTTTGGGAAGCGGAGACAGGAGGATTGCCTGAGCCCAGGGGTTCAAGACCAGCCTGGGCAACATGGCGAGTCCCTGTTTCTAAAAAAAATTTGTAACAATAATAGATAAAAATAATAACTACAGTTTTGGATTTCTGTTCAGAATCTGGAACAGTTTGAGAGTTGAAGAGTTTCAAATGCGGGTAATCTGGGAGTTTTTTTGTTTGTTTTTGTTTTTGAGATGGAATCTCGCTCTGTTACCCAGGCTGGAGTGCAGTGGCGCAATCTCGGCTCACTGCAACCTCGACCTCCTGGGTTCAAGCAATTCTCCTGCCTCAGCCTCCCGAGTAGCTGGGACTACAGGCATGCGCCACCACGCCTGGCCAATTTGTGTATTTTTAGTAGAGAAGGGGTTTCACCATGTTGGTCAGCCTGGTCTTAAACTCCTGACCTCAAGTGATCTGCCTGCCTCTGCCTCCCAAAGTGTTGGGATTACAGGCATGAGCCACCGCGCCTGGCCCAAATGCTGGTAGTCTGGTAGTAGAACATCTTCAAATCTCTATCAGATTAAAGTTTTGCTTACAGTAATCTCAGAGATCCTTGAAACCAACCTCAAGGAAAAAGGAAGGTGTTTTGTCTAAATCGTTAAAATAGTGTTACAGAGTAACCTTTGTTTCCCTGGAATATACATGGAAATAGTTCTATAACTGATGTCCTGAAAATTGAAAATCATTTATCACTGTGACTGAGGTCTTGCTCTCATCTAAGTCTTCAGTAACTCAATCTTTATTAACATGTGGTAGATAAAAATAATAATATTCCTTCTATTTTTTCTTCATATTGCCCTATCTGACATAGTCTTAGAATTTTAATGACCTGCGGCAGTTTATGGTCCAGTGGTTGTGGAAGGAAGAAGTACGCATCTGCCTCATTCATTTTTATCTCTATTAGCCTGGAAAGGACTTTGCCATCTGTTTTATCTCCCTCATTTCACAGATGAGGAAATGAAATCCAAAGGTCTCATCCCAAATTAGTGACAGGGCGAAGACTTGATAAGCCAGCTCTGATGCTCTTTCCTGTTTGCTAATCTATTTCTAGCAATTCTCATGAAAATATTAGAGATGAGCTAGATCTTATAGAAACATATAAAAGCAGTATTAACGGATAAAATATGACATTTAATTTCCTATTCTATATTCTTCCTATGATGTCATCTCAGAAGGATGGTTTGTGCAAACTGAAGATTGATAAGAACTGGAATTAAACATGCTTCATATGTGTTTAAGCATTAGAAAAAGTTATTTGGAGTCTTTTTAGTTACTTGAATCCTGGATTAAACTTATTTTCTTCATGAGAAATTCACTACCTACTTCTGGTTCTAATTTGAGGGTTTCAAGTTTAATTTTTCCTTCTTTCAAACCTTTAGAAGGAGGAGGTACCATGTGCTGACTTTCACACGCTGTTTTTGCTTTAGCTGTGTCATTGTGAATTTATAAATATTCTACCCGGCATCAGTGTTAAATTTTTTGGTTCTAACTTTTTTTCTGCCTTGTTTTCTAGATTCACGGCCCTTCCACAGTACCTTCCACAATACCAGTGCTAATCTGACTGAGAGGTACTATAAATTTGTTACTCCTTTTTCCAGAAATAAAATGAAGAAAATTTAAAATCTCTTAGGCCATTTAATTACGTAAACTAAGTTAATTGAGCTTATTGGGTTCTTCTTTGAGTGATAAACTTGGAATAATGATTAAAAGTGGTTTTGTCATGAAGGCTATACCTTAAAGTTAATGTCTTCAGTAGTTTTATTAATTATACTGTCCTCATGATAAAAATTGGTTGTATTTATTGATGTGAGGGTACACTATTATTTGACTTTATGAACTTGTGCACCCTTTGCTTATGGGATTTTTAATTCCTAAATCTAACAGTCTAAACAACATTTTGTTTCATATTAGTGTCTGTGTGTGTGTGCAATTTATAATAGTCTTAGCTATTTTAAGCTTTAAAGCTGTTTTCTTCTGTATACATGTAAATGATACATAGCTCTGTCGAAGTAAACGAATTGATTCTTTTTTTTTTCTTTTGAGACAGAGTTTCGCTCTTGTTGCCCAGGCTGGAGTGCAATGGCGCGATCTTGGCTCACTGCAACCTCTGCCTCCCAGGTTCAAGCCATTCTCCTGCCTCAGCCTCCTGAGTGGCTGGGATGACAGGCATGCGCCACCATGCCCAGCTAATTTTGTATTTTTAGTAGGGATGGGGTTTCTCCATGTTGGTCAGGCAGGTCTCAAACTCCCGACCTCAGGTGATCCATCTGCCTCAGCTTCCCAAAGTGCTGGGATTACAGGCGTGAAATTGATTCTTTACTTGACAGCAAGCAAAAGATTTCTGTTCTGACTCATTATTTTTATTTAGGTTTTCATGCTTATGAGATAGAATATTCTACTTGAAGTTTAATTGGGGTTCCTATGGCTGCCCTGCAGTTTTTTCTGAGTTGCCTTCTTTTTCACAGAGGCATCAGTTATGATTCTGATTTAGAACCCTTGCAATGAATGCTTCTCTTTGCACTGCTTTTATAGCTTATTCTTTCTCCTTTCTACAGCAGTGGTTTTCATACCATTTCCCCCTTATCTTAAAAACAGACTGCTGTATTTTGTAAACAATGCATATATAAATAAACTGACTGTTGACAGGACCCCTTGTGGTGCTGCTTCTGCCTGCCACCTGCCCTCTCACAGAGGCCCTAGAGGCAATCACTGCTGTTCTGTGGGAAATGTCTAAAATATTTTAGAACACCTAAGCAAAGTAGTATAAATGGATGCCTTTTCTATATAACGGATTGTTTATTTGAATGCCCAGCTGCTCTTTTGTTTGTTTGTTTGTTTTGAGACAGAGTCCCACTGTGTCACCCAGGCTGGAGTGCACTGGCACAAACAATCTCGGCTCACTGCACCCTCCACCTCCCGGGTTCAAGCGATTTTCCTGCCTCAGCTTCCCGGGTAGCTGGGACTACAGGCGCGTGCCACCACACCTGGCTAATTTTTGTATTTTTTAGTAGAGACGGGGTTTCACCATGTTGGCGAGGCTGGTCTTGAACTCCTGACC